>NC_000010.11:8191818-8343333 GCF_000001405.40 Homo sapiens
TTTAACAAATCTCTGATAATTCTTGGACCTCTCTGGCCATTGATACACTGGCTTTCAGTTTTCATAAGTGAGAAATAGGCCAGGTGCAGTGGCTCATGCTGGTAATCCTAGCACTTGGGGAGGCTGAGGTAGAAGGATTGTTTGGGGCCAGGAGTTTGAGACCAGCCTGGGCAACATAGCAAGACCCCATCTCTAAAATAAAATATGAAAATTAGCCAAATGTGGTGGCGTGCACCTGTAGTCTTAGCTTCTCAGGAGGCTGAGCTATGAGGATTGTTTGAGCCTGAGAGGTTGAGACTACAGCAAGCTATGATGGTGCCACTGTACTCCAGACTGGGTGACAGAGCAAGACCCTGTCTCTAAAATATAAGTTAAAAGCAAATAAACAAAAAACATAAGTGAGAATAGACCTTTTAGTTATTTTAAAGCATTGTGTGTACAACTCAGAGAACAATGAGCCTTAAAGTACATATCCAATTAATTAAAGCTAATAAATCTGATTGAACAAATATTAGTAACTCAATCTTTCAAAAGTGTCTGAGAGAAAAAGAGCTGCTATTTTTTGAGTGTTGACTTGTGCTGGGCTCTGTAACCTTATGTATCTAATCTCATTTAGCCCTCCTAGTAGCTTTGCTAATAGGCATCATTATCTCCATTTTACAGATAAGCAAAGTGTGGCTTTGAGAGATTGAGAAATTTGCTTATGTTTACACAGCTATTAACTCAACTCTGCCTCATTCCAGAATTCTTTCTCCTTCCATTCTCTGCTCTCTTTCAAGAAGTAAGAATCTAGGCCTCCTCCCCAGCCTTCCATGCAAATAAAACATATGTGGGTGTTTTTATAAATGCTCACTAAGTATTTACTTTTTTTTTTTTTTTTTTTTGAGATAGGGCCTCACTCTGTCATCCAGGCGGGAGTGCAGTGATCACGGCCCACTGCACTTAATCACGGCCCACTGCAGTGATCATGGCCCACTACAGTAATCATGGCCCACTGCAGCCTCAACCTCCCCTGGCTCAGGCGATTCTCCCACCTCAGCCTCCCAAGTAGTTGGGACTACAGGTGCATGCCACCATGCCTGGTTAAGTTTTGTATTTTTTTGTAGAGACAGGGTTTCACCATGTTGCTCAGGCTGGTCTCAAACTCCTGAGCTCGAGTAATCCACTGGCCTTGACTTCCCAAAGTGCTGGGATTATAGGCCTGAACCACCGTGCCTGGCCACTATTTGTTGAATGAATAAATCAGTGAAGCAGTATTTATCAAATTGTAGTAGTATGTCACAATTCTAAGGCCAAGGATAATTTATGTAAATTTAAAAAATCTATTTAAATTAAGGAGTTATTGTTAAATTTTTATGAGTGATAATGGTATCATGGTGATGCTTAAAAAAAGAATCCTTAACTTTTGGAGATAGACTCTGAAATGTTTACAGATGAAATGACAAGAATGTCTGATATCCACTTCAAAAATGATGAGATGGAGCGGAGAGTTTAGATTAAACAAGATTGGTCGTGGTTTGATAAGTGATGACCCTTGATGTGTACCCAAGGGCTCACTTGACCATTTTCTGTTATCGTATACATTTAAGATTTTTCATAATAAAATGTTTAAAAATTAAGTTTCAGTGGGACAATAAATAAATAAAGGGAGTAAACACTGTGGGGAAGTCTCCTAGTTTTTTATTTTTAAATAATTGCTTTATTTTCACCAAATTATTAAACATAACTCTCTATGAAACCACTTTGGGGGAGGGTATTTTCTGTATCATTTATCTTTTAAAAGTTTACTCTCTTGATGCAGAGAGAAGGATTGATTTCCCTAATGTATTGTGTGAATTTGAGTGAGTCATACCCTTTGTAGGTGGGTTTCTTACCTGGAAATGAGAGAATCAGTCTAGATAAATATCTGGGATTCTTTCCATTTCTAAAATTCTATAACTCCGACTAACCAGGAAAATACTACGTGTGTCATTCCTTTGCTGTTTAGTCTTTAGCCCTTAGCACCCATATTCATGGACAAACAGCATAAGAATCACGACACACCTTGAATTCAGGGGATTAGTCCCCCTACATCACGCCTTGAATTCAGGGGATAAGCCCACCTACATTTAAAACTGCCTTTAGGGCAGAGCGCATTCCTAGTAGTTCTCCCTAATTCTAGCTGACCGAGTAGGGCTTGTCACAGAGGGCAGGAGATTTAAGATGCAAACAGTATTGGTTATCTTGAAGAAGACTCCTTATTTCCTGAGAGATAGAATTAAACCAGAATACGACTGAAATGAAAAGCCTTCTTTTAGAGCACTCCACGTAAATGTTGAGTAGATACACCTTTCGCTTAGATACAATCCAATTAAAGCCAAACTGGTTTAAGGAATACGCAAGGGTACAGGGTTGAGCAACGACGTTCTCATGTGAATTCAACAGGTAACAGACCCACCTAGGAGCTGATGTGATTTGACAAGCTTTGTCCTCAGGTGTACTGTATTTGCGCATGTAGCAACTATGTCTCCACCCACAGAGCAGTGCCAAGGGCCTAAAAAGACTCATCTAAGAAAATGGTAACAAATCAGAAACATGCTTAAGATGCTGTCCTGTAGCACTGAAAAAATTTGTACCCAGAGCTTGTATTTGTAGAATCAGGATTTCCTATTTTCCTGTACTTCAAATCTGTCTGAGGGAGTGCGCTTTTACCATTATTATAATTTACCATGTATTTAGTATTAAAAAACATATTATTAACATGTGGCTCACACCTGTAATCCCAGCACTTTGGGAAGTCAAGGCAGGCAGACTGCTTGAGCCCAGGAGTTTGAGACCACCCTGCGTAACATAGCAAGAACCCATCTCTAAAAAAAAAAAATAATAGCTAGGCACGGTGGTGCACATCTGTAGTTTCAGCTACTCAGGAGGCTGAGGCAGGATAGCCTGAGCCCGGGAGTTCGAGGCTGCAGTGAGCTGAGATCGCACCACTGCACTCCAGCCTGAGAGACAGAGTGAGACTCTGTCTCAAAAAATAAAATAAAATAAAACAAAACAAAAACCAAAAGCAATTTGGAACCCTCCTATGGAGACATAACCCTTGGGCATATATTTTGTGTATGTGTACTGTACAACTCATGTAATATTCCCTGGAGAACCAGCATTTGAAATACTAGTCAATTTATGTAAAACCCCATACCCATTACATAGCACATGGTAGATTTTCAAGAAACTTTTCTTTTTTACGTTTCAGATGTTCTCTCTCAGCCTTCACCTCACTGAGTCTTCTTACTCATCATCTCTAACTTCTGAGTCCACTGCTATGCCACATGTGATGGCTAATTTACTTCAAGAAAGCTCATTGCTTACTTTTTCTGTGGTACTATTTAAAAACTTACAAATAGGGAATGTTTCTTTTGGATGTATGGTCAACCTCTGCTTCTTTTCTTTTCTTTCTTTTTTTTCTTTTTTTTTTTTTTTTTTTTTGAGACAAGGTCTTGCTTTGTGGCCCAGGCTGAAGTGCAGTGTCACAATCTTGGCTTACTGCCTCTACCTCCTGGGCTCAAGCAATCCTCCCATCTTAGCCTCTTGAGTAGTTGGGACTACAGGTGTGCGTCACCATGCCTGGCTAATTTTTTTTTTTTTTTCTGAGACAGTGTCTTGCTCTGTCACCCAGGCTGGAGTGCAATGGCGTGATCTCAGCACACTGCAACCTCTGCCTCCCAGGTTCAAGCGATTCTCCGCCTCAGCCTCCAGAGTAGCTGGTATTACAAGTGCGCACCACCATGCACAGCTAATTTTTGTATTTTTAGTAGAGACAGGGTTTCACCATGTTGGCCAGGTTGGTCTCGAACTCCTGACCTCAAGTGATCCACTTGTCCGGGTCTCCCAAAGTGCTGGGATTATAAGCGTTCCACTTCTGTTTTTTATACTTATAAGCCAAAAAATGAAAATAAAGGCATTAGTAAATCCTCAGTCAAATGGCTGTGGGGGACCCTCTTCATCTTAGTGAACATAAGGAGCTTCTTGGGATTAACTTGGATCACATTTACAAAGATACAAAGCTCTCATTTTTGAATTATGGTCATAAAGTGCAGAAGAGAAGCAGAATGCAGGTTTTAAGAAATGCAGCGTAAATCTTGAAGATTCTTTTCTTTTCTTTTCTTTTCTTTTTGAGACAGTCTCACTCTGTTGCCCAGCAGGCTGGAATGTGGTGGCATGATCTCGGCTCACTGTAACTTCCTCCTCCCAGGTTCAAGTGGTTCTCCTTCCTCAGCCTCCTAACTGGGATTGCAGGCATGTGCCACCATGCCCAGCTAATTTTGAATTCTATTTTTTAATTTTTTAAGTAGAGATGGGGTTTCACCATGTTGGCCAGGCTGGTCTCGAACTCCTGACCTCAAATGATCTGCCTGCCTTGGCCTCCCAAAGTGCTGGGATTGCAGGCATGAGCCACTGCGCTCAGCCAAAGATTCAGGTTTTAAACTTTCTCCCTCCCTGTCTCCCTCTCTCTCTCCCTCCCTCCTTCTCTCTCTCTCTTTCTCTTTTTCTTTCTTTTTGTAGAGACAGGGTCTCACTATGTTACCCAGGTTGGTTTTGAACTCCTGGACTCAAGCGATCCTCCCACCTTGGCTTCCAAAGTGCTGCGATTAGAGGTGTGAGCCACTACACCCTGCAGGATTCAATTTTTAGCTGCATGTAAAATGTAATCCTCCTGGAAAAGAATGAACAAATTGTAATGATGCAAATTAGAGCTATCACTGTAATGACAGTGGTTTGAAGGCAAGGTTGCCATTATTGTTTATGATTAAATTCTTGCATCTGCCATGTTGCTCCTCTGATATTACCATATGTTAGGGGTGTTTGTGGGACTAGCATGAAGATACCCATTAAAACACCAGCAAAGACCTAATAAAACGGCCTTTAATTGAACTATAAAAGATCCTAAGGATAAAGTTGCATTTGATACAGATCTCTCTCTCTATCTATATAATCTATATTCATGTTTACATACACATCCATAACATGAATTTAATTGTTTACAATCTGTAGTTATACTATCTAAATTATTTCTCACTCTGTCACTCAGGCTGGAGTGCAGTGGCACAATCACAGTTCACTGTAGCCTCAACCTCCTCGGCTCAAGCAATCCTCCCACCTCAGCCTTCTAAGAAATCGGGACTAAGGCGCATGCCACCTAGCCCAGCTATTTTTTTTTTTTTTTTGTATTTTTTTTTTGTAGAGACCACGTTTTGTCATGTTGTCCAGGCTGGCCTGTAACTCCTGGGCTCATGTGATCAGCCTGCCTTGGCCTCCCAATGTGTTGGGATTACAGGTGTAAGCCACAGCACCTGGCTCTGATTCTTTTAAAATTTATTTTTATTTATTACTTATTATCCTTTTTTGCAGAGATGGTGTCTTGCTATGTTGCCCAGGCTGGTCTCAACATCCTGGGCTCAAGTGATCCTCCTACCTTAGCTTCCCAAAGTGCTGGATTATAGGAGTAAGCCACCGCAGTCAGCCTTTCTGATCTTAGTGACACCTATAATAAACATTATTTATATGCTTCTTTCTGATAAATGAAATGTTGAATTTCTTGTTTTAAGCTTAAAATAGTCTCATTTGGAGGTTTATTAACTCTAAAATACTCTCAACAACTTACCTATATCAACTTCTACTGTAATCAAATGAATGTAAATAGAAATAAAAATATGATAGCATTGCAACCCTACAAAATTGGCAAAGCCCAAAGAAATAATCACACTATATTGGCCAACAATGTGAGAAATGAAGGAGTTTCATTTACCGCTGGCAAGAGTGCAAATTGATGCAACTTTCTGGTACAGCAGGTTGGCTCTAAGATTTCAAAGTCTTAAAAGTGCTCATAACACAAACCTAACAATTCTGCTTCTCTTCTAATAATTTACTCTTAGGAAATAGCGACAGAAAAAGGATAAATATATGAAATATACATTTTAAACTGTGAAGCCCTAGAAGCAATCCAAATGTCTAACAAAGAGTACTGGTGAAATGAAGTCTGGTGTATCCATATGATAGCCTACTATGTAGCTAATAGAAATAGTTCCGTGGGAGAATGTTTCCAAATAGCAAAAAGATTCAGGATATGTTGCTTAGTGAAGATAGCAGATTACAATACACTATTTACTATATGGTTATAATTCTATACCAGAGATGTATAGAAAAATGGAAAATATTAACTTAATTTCCGACTAGGATATTACAAGTGTTTTTACTTTTTTTTGTTTTTTTCAAAATTCCCATAATTTCTCCAATAAAAAATATGATTTTGGGCCAGGTGCAGTGGTGCATGCCTGTGATCCCAGCACTTTGGGAGGCCGAGGTGGGCGGATCACTTGAGGTCAGGAGTTCGAGACCAGTCTGGCCAACATGGTGAAAACACATCTCTACTAAAAATACAAAAATTAGCCGGGCATGGTAGTACACACCTGTAATCCCAGCTACTCAAAGAGGCTGAGGCACGAAAACCACTGGAACTTGGGAGGCAGAGGTTGTAGTGAGCCAAGGTAGTACCACTGCATTCCACCCTGGGCGACAGAGTGAGACTGTCTAAAAAAAAAAAAAAGGTTTTAAAGGGAGGAGAATGCAATAAAATTGTAAAAATCAAAGTTTATCAGACATTGAAACTTACTACTATTTTTGAAGGCTGGGTGCGGTGGCTCATGCCTGTAATCCCAGCACTTTGGGAGGCTGAGGCAGGCGGATCACCTGAGGTCAGGAGTTCAAGATCAGCCTGACCAGCACGGAGAAACCTGGTCTCTACTGAAAATACAAAATTAGCTGTGTGTGGTGGCGCGTGCCTGTAATCCCAGCTACTTGGGAGGCTGAGGCAGGAGAATCGCTTGAACCCAGGAGGCGGAGGTTGCAGTGAGCCGAGATTGCACCACTGCACTCCAGCCTGGGCAACAAGAGTGAAACTCCATCTCAAAAAAAAGGAAGAAAAGAAATTTATTACTGTTTTTATAAACTTAATTAATTATATTGATCTTTGGGTATATGATTAATACTTGCCATGTAAATATTAACAGTAAGCAAACCTTAATATAATTATACATGTTTCTAATATTATGTATCGATTTTATGTAACTATATATAATGTCTCTCTATGTATGATACACTATATCACACCTATCATATAGATATGACATGATGCCTTAACGCTTCACAGCTTATAAAGTGCCTTTTCAGAGATAATCTTATTTAGCTCTTAGATCATGTATAAAACGTATTATCTCCATTTTATGGAAGCAAAAAGAGAGGTTAAAAACTTTAATAACCTGCTCAAAAGTCTCTGCTGGTCAGGCAGACCCCCTGATGTCTGTACCTCCAGAGCTACTTCTGCGTCACCCAGGTGGGTTTGCTGTATGAGGCTGTGTTTGGGAACATGACTTGGCTGGCAGGGTATCTGAGACGGCCACTTTATTGGAATTCTAGGATATCAGAATTGCTTCTTTTTCAGAAAGGGCGTGGAGTAGGACAGTCATTCTCTTTGGTTAAAGTTAACTGCAGGATAATCAGCTGCTCTGCAAATTTCACTGGGCTTTGTTTCCTATTCTTTCTTCCTTTTTAAGCCTTTGCTTTTCTTTGCATTTAGAAAAGTCTGAAAATCGTGGCTTGTGCCAGCTAAACTAACGGGCATGAAGAAATACACACCATCCTCCTTGGTTGATGGTCAGAGTTTTCAAGGAAAATCCATGTGATAGCAGCGAGTGGGGTCAGAGTGACAGAATCCCAAGGACAAGATTAAAGTCCAGGGAAAAGGGCTGAGAATCCTCGCATCAGCTGCATTTCCCCACCTGGGAAATTTTCTTTCAGAGATAAAGCCCTCATTTTGGCATGCATTAGAATGACCTGGAGAGCTGGTTACAACCCACCTTGCTGTCCCTTCCTCACTGTTCCCCGACCCCCCACCAGAGTTTCTTTATTTTGAGACAGAGTCTCATTCTGTTGCCCAGGCTGGAGTGCGATGGCGCGATCTCGGCTCACTGCAACCTCCGCCTTCCAGGTTCCAGGGATTCTTGTGCCTCAGCCTCCTGAGCTGAGACTACAGGCATGCCACCATGTCCAGCTAATTTTTGTATTTTTAGTAGAGACGGGGTTTCACTATGTTGGCCAGGCTGCTCTCAAACTCCTGACCTCAGGTGATCAGCCCGCCTCGGCCTCCCAAAGCGCTGGGATTACAGGGTCACGCATCAGGCCTCCCACCAGTTTCTGATTCAAGTAGTTTCAGGGTGGAGCCTGGAAATGTGCATTTATAATACGTTCCCAGGTGATACAGAGAATCAGATGGTGCTGTTGGTCCCAGGACCGCACTCACAGAGCTGCTGCTTTAGGAGTTTCAGGGGGATATTTCTCTTGCAGAGGAACAGTATCCGGTACTTAAGGATAGAAAGATGAGTAAGAGCTCATAATTACAGAACTATGTGGTAAGGACTGCAGTGAATACGTGTGCTCAGAGGAGTCTGTGCTTAGCAGCGTCTTGGCAGGATCCAAGAATGCTTTATGGTGGTCCTGTTCAAAGGAGGAGGGGTCTCATTGGGCTTGAAAATAATTCCAAGCAGACACAACAGGAAAGCAAAGGCATAGGTAAAGGAGATTATTGTGATGTAAGCTCTGAAGCAGTCTTCGGAAGTAAATATTCTTCACGCAACCTATTTCTGTTGCTTTCTATAAATAGCGTATTGGCTATTATTTAATTTATATATATTTATATATATTATTTAATTTATATATATTTATATATATTTAATTTATAATAATAATTAAATATGCAGTGACTTATACCTTAAATGTTCCAAGTTACTTACTTGATTAAAAAAACTGATTTTAGTTGGTTTCTTGTTTAGTGAACTGATAAAAGATATGATGGCTTTCTGAGGAGTGACACTAGGTGGGAGTTGGAGATTTTGGCAGGGCACTGCTCGGAAAAGACGAGATTGCTGCCAAGAAAATCCAATAGGAGTAATTCAATCCGCGCTTCCTGGATAATGAGTTTATGTACAAATTTAAAAATATGAGATTCAAGGACTTAGAAACTCACTTGAGAGATATTTCCATAGGTCAGTTATAATTGATTTTATAATTGCAAAACGGCCTTTATAAAAGCATAGTACTGTCATCTGTGAAAATCATTAGGTAATTTTACTGTGTTAAAAGAGTAGGTTACATGACGTTTAACGTCCATTTCAACTCTAAGATTTTTATCACATTATGACGAATACATGATTTTGAATTTAAAGATTTATTTAAAAAAGAAGGTAGGGTGCAGTGACTCACGCTTGTCATCCCAGCACTTTGGGAGGCCGAGGCAAGCGGATCACCTGAGGTCAGGAGTTGGAGACCAGCCTGGCCCACATGGTGAAACTCCATCTCGACTAAAAATACAAAAATTAGCTGGGCGTGGTGGTGGTCGCCTGTAATCCCAGCTATGCTGGAGGCTGAGGCAGGAGAATCACTTGAACCCAGGAGGCAGAGGTTGTAGTGAGCTGAGACTGCGCCATTGCACTCCAGCCTAGGTGACAAGAACAAAACTCCGTCTAAAAAAAAAAAAAAAGGATGGTGATTTTAGCAAAGGAGGAATGAACTGTAGGCAAAGTTCTAAGCGTGTTCTATGCACCATTCTGTTTCATAGCACAGATGAAACATAGTAGGTGTTTAAGTAAATATTTAAAGTGTGGTTGTTTGATAAAGGATTTTTTTTTTTCACAGCATACTTGTGATATTGTTTCTGAAGACATAAACAACAAAAAATTTCAGAGATGTTCCTATATGAGCAAAAAATAAAAATAAAAAATTGAATCCCTCATTTAAATCATTTGGAAAGTAAACGACTTTGGCACATTACGTCCAGATATTTCAGGCCTTAAAATTATTTTCTTTCTGAACTCTTTAGAAAATTACTTCAAATCTCCTTTTTGTGAAAAAGTTTCAAAAAACAAGTGTCAGCTATTACTTATGGAAAAGTTTTCTTTTGGAAGTGCTTGGAGCTCCAGGCTTGACTTAATATGTCTGTGTCTCGGTGCATTGTGTAAGCTGAAAGGGGGTCAGTCTATTGCTTTTGACATGACTTTTCTTTTTTTTTTTTTTTTTAGATTTAATTCTGTGTTTCCATTTGCCTCCATAGAGAGAGTTTAAAGAACTCTGCCAATTCTGGCCTATGAAAGTGCATTAGTGAATTATTTTATGTTTTAGTGTGTAAATTTAAGGGGTATAAGTGTAGTTTTGTTACATGGACATATTGTGTAGTGGTGAAGTGTGGGCTTTTGGTGTATCCATCACCTGAATAATGTACATTATAGCCATTATGTAATTTTTTATCTCCCACCTCCTCTCACCCTCCCACCTTTCCTGGCCTAAGTGTCTGTCATTCCAGACTCTATTTCCATGTGTAGACATTATTTAGCTCCCACTTATACATGACAACATGCAGTATATTTTTTTTTTTTTGAGACAGAGTCTTGCTCTGACACCCAGGCTGGAGTACAGTGGCAGGATCTCAGTTCACTGCAACCTCTGCCTCCTGGGTTCAAGCAATTCTCCTGCCTTAGCCTCCCAGGTAGCTGGGATTACAGGCACGTGCCACCACACTTGGCTAATTTTTTGTATTTTTAGTAGAGATGAGGTTTCACCGAGTTAGCCAGGATGGTCGTGATCTCCTGACCTCTTGATCGGCCCGCCTCTGCCCCTCAAAGTGCTGGGATTACAGGCATAAGCCACTGTGCCCAGCCGAGAACATGCAGTATTTATCTTTCTTTTTTCTGAGTTGCTTTACTTAAGATAACAGCTTCTAGTTCCATCCACGTTGCTGCAAAAGACATGATTTCATTTTTTTTATGGCTGAATAGTATTCCATGGTGTATATATACCACATTTTCTTTATCTAATCATCTGTTGATGGACCTACAGGTTGATTCTATAGCTTTGCTTTTGTGACTAGTGCTGAAATAAACATATTAGTGCGGGTATCTTTTTGATATCTTGATTTCTTTTCCTTTGGGTAGATATCCAGTAGTGGGGTTGCTGGATTGACTGGTGATTCCATTTTTAGTTTTTTAATTCTCCATACTGTTTTCCATAGAGGCTGTACAAATTTACATACCCACCAACAGTGTATAAGTGTTCCTTTTTTTTCCGCAACCTTGCCAACATCTGTTATTTTTTGACTTTTTAATAATAGTCGTTCTGGCTACAAAATGATATCTCATTCTGGTTGTAATTTGCATTTCTCTGATGATTAGTGATGTTGAGCATCACTGAGCTTTTAGAAACATGACAGAAATCCCAGTATTTTGAGATTTGAGGAAAAGCTCTCAAACAATGGAAAAGTTTGTGCTCTTCTGATCGGCTCAGCAGGTGTAATCTGGCCTTCTGCTGGTAGCATTCTAGAGCTGAAAAAATCATCTTACCTTAAGTCTTTGATGGCATTTGCCATCAATGGCATGAGATGTTTATGAGGTCCCACTAATTTTGAAGACTTGCAAAAAATATAATTTGATACAAGAAGTGATTTTCGCTTATGTGCCAGTCTTTGGCCAAGATTTAGCCTAAGAGCTTATCTTCTCACTGCGAATGTGGCACAGGGACCAATTGCCAACCAGGTAAGCACATAGAATAATTTCGAGGTCTTATAATGTGGCGAAGTGCACACAAAAATATTTAATGATGAACTGAGAGAAGAGAAAAGGAGACATAGAAAAAGAGAAGTTGAAGGAAAGAGGGAGAGAAAGTTGAGGAAAGGAAGAGGAGGAAGAGGGAGATTTAACTGAATTTCATCCTATATTCCCAAGACTGATCATTATTTCCATGGAAAATCTCTGAAAATAACAAGAGTTACCTTCTTCTAAAATAACAAGAGTTACAGAATGGGGCTTATTGTCTGACTATAATTTCTTAACAATTGTGCCATTAAAATTCAGTTAATAAACAAGGTAGTTACCAGCACATTTTTACCACCAAGCCAAATACTGCACCCAATATGTGGAAAGCATTTATCACCTAATTGATTATGTTTATTAAACAGCTATATTTAATAAACAATAACTTATTTTTACACAAAAATCCAGAGGCACAAGCTGCTTTTTCCTTAATTCTGTCCATACCAAATTATCTGAAATGATTTCAAATTGTGTAATTATCCTAGAGTACTGTGAAGTTTCTAGAAATCATCCACAAATTGTTTCTTTAATAAAATAAAATAATAATCTGTAAAGAAGCATGGACAGAACTTAGTTCTCTAATAATATAAAATAAAATGTAAGTTACAACTAACTGGTTAGAATTTACTAATTTCCCATAATTTGTTTGGAAAATGATTAACCGCTGTGAGCAGTACCTCATACCTATGTTCCCAACACTTCGGGAGGCTGGGACAGGAGGATCGCTTGAGCCCAGGAGTTCGAGATCAGTCTGGGCAACATAATGAGACTCCATCTCTGGAAAAACAAGACAAAAATTAGCCAGTTGAGGTGGCATGCACCTGTAGTCCCCGCTACTTGAGAGGCTGGGGCGAGAGGATGGCTTAAGCTTACGAGGTTGAGGTTGAAGTGAGCCAAGGTCATGGCACTGCACTCCAGCCTGGGGGACAGAGCAAGACCCCGTTTCTAAATAATAAAGAAAAAAATTATTAACCATCTTTCACACATTTAAAGAAATTCATAGGACATATTTGTAAGGTACGAGGCGTATAAAGGTTTTCTGGATAGGTCACCTTTATGTAATATTTTTGCTGTCATGGTAATGAATGGGAAAGTGCAGACTATGTTTTAGGTGGATTTTGTGAAATCTCTCAAACTGAGTTCAAGTGGGACATAGTTCTATAGACATTTGACAACATGCTTTGAAAGACCCCAGTGATGAAATTTTGTTCCCAGACTGTTATTCTTCGTATTTCCTGTTTGTTTTATGCATAGTTACTTTCTGGTCTTCCAATATCCTTGAAGTAAGACAACTGGTCACTCCTTAAGCATCATGTGCAATAAGAGGTTACGTCACAGCCACTTGCAATGGGCGTGTCTATGTGAAGTGTGCTGATATTATTTGAAATTAGGAATCTGTGTTTCGGCTTGTCCTTTTATGATTAAAAAGACCATCCATCAACATGGTAGAGAAGAGCCACACACTTTACAAAGCCCTGGAAGGAAATAATCAGGTTCCTGTTTTAGGTGACAGAATTAATTGTTCTAAGAAATTCTGGCTTTTCTCTTGTATGTGCTCAGAGGTGAACCCTTCCACATGGTTGATCTAAATCCAGGAAAATGTTGTATGCATTACATACTGTAAATTTACTACAGAGCAAATATCTCCAGGAAAGGACTTGGCACATAGATATCTGCCTTGGTCTTTGTGTACCTATGTAATACTTTGCACTTAGTAGGCTGTCAAGCACTGTTTATTTACTGTGACTTAATCTGCTGAATTGGTAAGATTCCTGTATTGGCTTACTCTTTAGTGAACTGATGAAACATAAAGTTAAGAAGAAATTAGAGTGGGAGGGACACGGTGGCTCACACCAGCAATCCCAGCACTTTGGGAGGCCGAGGTGGGTCAACTTGAGACTGGGAGTTCAAGAGCGGCCTGGCCAACATGGTGAAACACTGTCTCTACTGAAAATACAAAAAATTAGCTGGGTGTGGTGTCACATGTCTGTAATCCCAGCTACTCAGGAGACTGAGGCATGAGAATCGCTTGAACCCAGGAGGCAGAGGTTGCAGTGAGCCGAGATTGTGCCACCCGCACTACAGCCTGGGCGACAGAGTGGGATCCTGTCTCAAAAAAAAAAAAAAAAAAAAAAAAAGAAGAAGAAATCAGAACAGATGGTGATTCTGAAAACAAACATACAAGCAAAAAATAATAAAAAAGAAAAAATAAAGAATAAAAAAAGGCTTAAGAAAACAGTCTTGTCTCTTTTCTCAAGAGCCATATCTTTTCCATGAATGAAGATTAATTATGATAGGATAGAGATTTGCTATCTATTTTGTTGCTATTCCTGCTACTTTTTATTCATGTTGAAGTGTGGAGGTTGCATCACCCTATGTTGACTTCCATTTTTTGGGGCTCATTTCTTTTTTTGAGTACTTTTGCTGTTTTCGAGGTTGTGTTTTCTTTATGGTGACCTGTGCTAATGGCTCTCTTATGTGTTTTGAAACTGGTAAGGCAGTAGCTTTAAAGACATCAAAGGCCAGGTGCAGTGGCTCACACTTTTAATTCCAACAGTTTAGGAAGCTGAGCTTGGAGGATCGCTTGAGCCATTACACTGGAGTTCAAGAACAGCCTGGGTAACATAGCAAGACCCCATCTCCACTTGAAAAAAGAAAAAAGAAGAGGCATCAAACTATTTGGAATGATACTGAAAAATTTAATTAGAATGTATATTTCAGTAGTTCTCAAGCTTCTTGATGTTAGTATCCTTTTACCCTCTTAGAAATTACTAAGGACCACAGTTGCTTTTGTTTATGTGTGTTATATCTATGCTTTTACTCCATTAGAATTTTAAAGAGAATGCTTTAAAAATGCTTATTTTAAAATTTATTTAAATGTCACTCTAATAAATTAAAACATATGAAGTAACATAACTAATATATTTTTATGAGAAATAATTGTGTTTTCCAAAGTAAAACAAAATTAGTGAGAAGAGTGACCTTGTTTTCCATTTTATACATCTCTTTACTGTCTGGATTCAGTGGAAACAGCTGGATTTTCATGTCTGCATTCTGTTGGTGGTGGCCTCACATGTCTATGTAGCTGGAAAACAGAGGCCCTTTCATCCCCCTGAGCCTATTTTGGGGACCCATAGGGCTTATTCGACCACACTTTGGGAACTGCTGGCACATTTAACAGTAGAATTACAACTATGAATTCTCTGTAGAGAAAACATTCAAAACTTGGGGTACTGGTCCATAGGAAAATAGAATTTTATATGATTTTCCTGGACACTCCTGAGGGGTTTTATTTTACTTTACCTCGAATTGCATTCATTTCGCTTGGGTTAATTTTGATAATCACTTGTCCTCTGGCTGAAAGAGCAGAGTGATCTTTAGAATCTATTACTATCTGTACTTACCATTGTGTTAATGGTCACCCTGCAATCACCATAAATGTTTGTTAGTCTGTCATTTAAAAAAATGACACAACTATGGTCCCCCTAGGGTTTTCCTCTCCTCTAAGACACCTTTGCCCTGATGGAATATTCCAGATCTGTGCTACTCTCACCTAGATGTAGTGATAGATAATGATGAGTGGGTTGATAAGCAGATGAATCTGGTTACATGATCAGCATAGTGAAATCCTGGAGATAACTATCTGGTTTTATGGACAGTTTTATGAAGATACTTTTCAGACTTCTGCTATTGCCCTGAAATGGCAGCAGTGAAAACATGCCAGTTGTACTTCATGTTAAAAATCTTAGGGCTCACCACAGACTTCACAGGTTGCAAACCTTATGGTGAGTTTGTCTTCCTTAATTTGCCTACTTCTAGGCTTCTGATGATGCAAAATCAGAGTATAGCCACGCACACAGTACTTACAGTGTTGAAAATTCTAAAAGAATTTGGAAGATCTAAAAGCATCAAAGAGAGAAAATAGAAGTATTGATCTGCATGTATCTCATTTTCTTTTTCTTTTTTTTTTTTTTTGAGATGGAGTTTCGCTTTGTCACCAGGCTGGAGTGCAGTGGCACCATCTCGGCTCACTGCAACCTCTGCCTCCCGGGTTCAAGCGATTCTCCTGCCTCAGCCTCTCGAGTAGCTGGGACTACAGGTGCGTACCACCACTCCTAGCTAATTTTTGTATTTTTAGTAGAGACGGGGTGTCACCCTGTTAGCCAGGATGGTCTCGATCTCTTGACCTCATGATCTGCCCATCTTGGCCTCCCAAAGTGCTGGGATTACAGGCATGAGCCACCGTGCCCAGCCTGTATCCCATTTTGTAAACCTAGTTTCCTTCATCCAATGGCATGATGGAATAAGTTCAATTTTGGATGGCTGACATAAATAGTGACAATCTCACTTTTGAATTTATAGAGTTTAATATTGAGTACTCAATATATATATTTGTTGAGCAAATAGAAACCTTAATTAAAAATTAGCTATAAATGATATTTCCTTATTCTTACAGAGTCGATGAAGGTGGAAAGAAAATAGGTCCATAACTTTTATAGTTCACCAGGGAGATGTTTGTATTTAACCTATCATTTTTAAATCAGAAGATATTATTTAGTGGCAGTTCTATAGAGAGCTATTTCTTTGTCTGAATATCTCATATTGGCAAGTTCTTTGGCTTTCATGTAACAAACATTACTTGGTGGACTTCTACTGAATATCTGTCATGTGCCATGCAAAGCTTTGGACCTAAGGATGTAAAAAGGAGGGTGAATCAGTCTTTCCAGAGGCTTATGGTCTAAAGGGAGAGACTGACCAGGAGAGAAGAGCTGGAAAGAGGCAGGCACAGGGCCTTCTGGGAAAATGGGAGAATATGCTTGTCTTTCCCTGGAAGGTCAAAGAAGGCTTTCTAGAGGAGGAAACATGGTAAGTGAGTCTTGGCTCAGAGAAGTTGAGCGGGTAGTATGCATATATCTGTCAGAGTAAGCCATAGGCTTAGAGTGGAGAAATATACAAGGACCCTCAAACAGAACTCATGTGATTGTAAGTGACAGAAACTCAACGCCACCTAGTTTAAGCCAAGAGGCAATGTAGTGGCTAACACATTGGCTGGGAAGTCTGGCTTTAGAAACAACTCCATTCAGAAACTCATATAAGGTCATCATCTTGCTCTTTCTTTCTTGGGTTTGTTTGTTACTTGGAGTTGCCCTCCTCCTCTTCTCCTTCAGAGAGACTTTTGGTTCAAATAGGGAAGAGAGCCACTATGGTTCCCTGTGCACATCCATCTGTCTCTTTACCCAATAGGCTTCAGTTCAAACAATCTCAGTGATAGCCCCCGACTGCCATTGGTTCATTCCTCTGGTGGGGGCTTGAGCATCTGATTAGTAGCTTGACACAGGTTCAACTGGAGTGGAGAAGGAGCAGTTCCCAAATAAATGGCTGGGCACATGTGGTGGTGGTGGCAGTATCCAGGTGGCTAAACACACAGAGAGAATAGTTGTCTACAAGAGTAGACAAATTTGACTCAATTGCTGTGAATTTGACAAAGATCTTTCTTAGCATTAGGATTGATTTTTTTTCAAAGCTCATTTAGGTATTTACCTAAGTAGTTTTATACTTTCCTGGATTTTTTTAAAAGGGGATTTTGTTTTATTTCAGAAAATACAGACTCCTCAAGGAGGGTAATAGCTAAGGGCTTTCTTTAGAACTTGCACATATCATAGCTTATCCTTTTTCTATCGTAAACATTTTTATGTAGCTAAGGTTTGGTCAAGCAAATATCAAGGGGGTAATGAAATCCTAGCAGGGCAGAATCTGTGGATGGAGGAGAGAGTAGCCCGGTCTTGGCACCTTGGTTGTGATGGGAAGATTACTGTGGACCATTGACAATCACCGACTCTCTTGTTTCATGCAGAGGCTAGAACAAGGACTTTACCCAAGTGGTAGGGACATTTAGAGAAAAGTAGAGAAAAAGAGAGATCAGGAGCAGGCTGGGCTGGATCCAACTAAAAGAGGAGCTTGACAATCACTGGAAATGTGATAAGATGGAGAGAACTTTATTTTATAGAATTTACCTCGGGGAAAATACTCTATTGGTTAGAAGCTGCTTGAGGCAAGGGCCAGGCTTAAGTGGTAGCTAAACCACCTTCAAAGGCACAGGTCTGGTTAACCCTACAACTTTGCATTTGCTGAGTGGGTATGTGAGTTTGGCAGCAGAGGATTCCACAGCTCAGCTTCTTACCTGAATAAATACTGAAGAAATGTTTACAGGATATTGGTTTGTGGCATCTGATCATTAAATTTTCTGGAGCCACTCAACATGGCTTATGCAAACAGCATGCAGTTCTCGTCCAGGGCCACTTTCTGTTTGGGTGCTACGTGTAAAACAGTTAGTACCAGGGTAATGGTGATGGAGTGCTGGCTTACAGGGCATTCATTCCCATGGTAAATTCTGGAAAAAATATTAGGTCCACCATATCAGGCATTTTCATGAAACGTTCCTGACAGTGTTCTTTAACTCATGACTTTAGAAAACAACAGAAGTAATTACTTGCGAAGAGTAAAAACAACACAGTGCAGTAACTGTTAATTTAGAGACAGAAACACAACTAATTACCTGGGACTCCTGCAAGCATAGTCTTGTTTAACTGCTGATCTTTTTTCTCTAGGTAGCAAGTCTCATAGAAGGCTGGTCAGAATTGCAGTCTTTCTGCTTTTCTAAAGTCCTTTCAGACTGGTGTCGTTTTCTTCTTGGATGCCATGGCTCCTTGTTCGCCATTGTCATATCTTTTCTTATTCACCATGAATGAAGATAAATTATGATAGGATAAAGATTTGCTATCCTTTCTATTGCTATTCCTACTACTTTTTATTCATGCTGAGATGTGGAGGTTGCATTACCCTATGTTGACTTCCATTTTCTTGGGCTCATTTCTTGTTCTGAGTTTTTATACTGTTTTCAGGGCTGTGTTTTCGTTTTGGTGACCTGTGCTAATGGCTCTCTTAGGTGTCCTGAAACTGCAAAAGCAGTGGCTTCTCTTTACTATTATTACTTTTTAGACAGAGTCTTACTCTGTCACCCAGACTGGAGTGCAATGGTGAAATCATAGCTCACTGCAGCCTTGCATTCCTGGACTTAAGTGATCCTCCCACCTTGGCCTCCCAAAATGCTGGGAATACAGAGGTGAGCCACCACACCCGGTCAGCAGTGGGTTTGCAAACATTTTTGACCATGGCTTACAGAAAGACATTCATGTTACATGGTGCCCAGTACACACAGACATACATAATTGACATGGAATGTTCTTGGAGTGATACCATCCTTACTGCACATGATGGACTCCACTCTATTCTATTATTCTATTCAATTCTATTTCTTTTAAAAAATTTTCCTTTTACAATTCACGTGATTCAAGAGCCATGGTTTGAAAAACACTGCTCTAAGACTTGTCCCCCTTGCAAGGTTTTCAAAAAAGTAGAAATCTCTCAAATCACATTCCTGGTCTTCTAAGGACATGCCTCATAGAGCCCCAGGATCAATGGCCAGAGTGGCTATGTCATTTCCTCCTGGTAGGCTCACAATATTTGTGGTACCTCAGTGATTCAACTGACACCATTCTAATCACCAGACTGGAAGGGACTATTTATATATTCCTTGGGGGCAAATGCTTAAAAATTTGTTAGAGAGGCTGCTTGAAAGACAGTATTCCAAGAAAACCAGGACTCAACAGGTTATTTTCCTTTAGTCTCTTCCCTTACAAATTGTTTTCCTGGCCATTAAACTCATAGATGCCCTTTTAGAATCCAGTGCTATTTGTTCAATACTATTCTGATAATCATCAAATGAGCCCATTATTATTCAAATTTAGTTATACCAATTGTTCATAAAACCATCATTAAATCAATAAAAATCTGATTTCAAGTGCTTAGTCCCCAAATAGCTCTCAGGCTTATTTGCCTCTCCCCAGATATATAAATCTGATGGGTGCTTGGGAGTTTGTATACTTTTCTTGGTCCACTTTTTCATACTTGTCAGAGGTCAGTGTTATTAGATGTTTGAGGTTCACTGTGTCTAAGGTGATTGAATAACCTTTGCAGATCTTTCTGTGGCAGGACTGCTATTGCCCACCCAAGAGCATCCTCCTCTTCCTTACCAGCTTGGGCAACATGGTGACACCTCACCTCTACAAAAATAAAACTACAAAAATTAGCCACGTGTGGTGGCACATGCCTGCAGTCCTATCTACTAGGGAGGCTGAGGTGGGAGGATCGCTTGAGCTCAGGAATTCAAGCCTGCAGTGAGCTATGATCATACCACTGCACTCCAGCCTGGGGGACAGAGGCCAGCCCAGCAAAAAACACTTGTTTATTCAACCTCCCTTCCCTCAGGACAGGTCATGTGACATAGTTCTGACTAATGAATGCCCCGATAGCGGTATTTCCTGTTTCAGCAAAGCAAAAGCCCTCCCAGAAACCCTTAGCTCATTTCTGAGGGTTTCTGGGAGGGATTTTGCTTTCCTGAAACAGCAAATACCCCTATCTGGCTATTCAGCAGCCATCTTGTAACTACAAGGTAACAAGTGTGACAATGAGGATGTACTAGCTAAATGTCATTGAGCAGATATGTAGAAAGAGCCCAGGATGGGCGTGATGGCTCACTCCTGTGATCCCAGCACTTTAGGAGGCTAAGGTGGGAAAACTGCTTGAGCCCAGGAGTTTGAGACTAGCCTGAGCAACAGAGCAAGACCCCATCTCTACAAAAAATAAAAAAAAATTATCTGAACGTGGTGGTGTGCTCCTGTGGTCCCAGGTACTTGAAAGGCTGAGGTGGGAGGATCGCTTGAGTGCAGGAGATTGAGGGTGCCGTGAGCCATAACTGTGCCACTGCACTTCAGCCTGGGCAACAGAGCAAGACTCCATTACAAAGCAAAAAAAGAGCCTGGATCCCTGATGGCAGCCCAGAGCAGCAACATCAGCTATGGATGGCCCACTTGCAGATCTCTGATTATGTGAAGAAAATATTAAGCCTCTAACTACTAGTTCGTGTTCTTGTTCTTGTTCTTGTCCCTGTTCTTGTTCTTGTTCTTCTTGTTGTTGTTCTTCTTCTTCCTCTTCCTCTTCTTCCTCTTCCTCTTCCTCTTCTTCTTCCTTTCCTTGACAGAGTCTCGCTCTGTTGCCCAGGCTGGAGTACAGTGGTGCAATCTCTGCTCATTGCAGCCTCTGCCTCCCTGGTTCAGCCTTCTGAGTAGCTGGGACTACAGGTACACACCACCACACCCAGCTAATTTTTGTATTTTTAGTAGGGACAGGGTTTCACCATGTTGGCCAGGCTGGTCTCGAACCCCTGACCTCAAATGATCTACCCGCTTTGGCCTCCAAAAGTGCTGGGATTACAAGTGTGAGCCACTGTGCCCAGCCATTAATACCAGATTTTATTTGTGACCTGTAATCAAATAAATGACATAACTGATTCATTCCATTTTTAAAATTTCTGCATCTGTCTTACTCTTTGATGAAAATTTGATAACTACAGATTACTATGATGAGCACTTCAAGTGTCACTAATTAGACCCAAAGCTATTTTAGAGTAATTGCTAACAAAAGTGCGTTGATGTTCTTCCATATGGCATCCAAGTGTGAGAAGCTCTTTCCCCAAACTATCTCAACAGGATTAAAATGCTTTGAGAATGACTGTTCTTTCATTTTTTCACGTGGTCCAAGGTTTAAATACTCCTAGCCACATAGAGCATAGGGCTGAACCCTGATCTAGAAATGGTGTTTTCAAACTTTAATTGTTCATTTTAGATTGGCTCATCACCTTCAAGTTTAGATAGTTGTTGGAATGTTATGGTTCTAAGAAGGTAAGCCTCTCTAGAGTTGAGGTTTTCTTGATTTGGAGGCTCTTTCTGATCTTATTTAGGACACTGTAAAGGAAAGTATTGTGACAACAGCTTTTTTTTTCTTTCTTTTTATTTTTTTTTGAGACAGGGCCTTACTCTGTTGCCCAGGCTAGAGTGTAATGGTGTGATCATAGCTCACTGCAGGCTTGAATTTCTGGGCTTAAGGGATCCTCCCACCTCAGCTTCCCTAGTAGTTGGGAATACAGGCATGCACCACCACACCTGGCTGATTATTTTTATTTTTGTAGAGATGGGGTCTTGCTATGTTGCCAGGCTAGTCTCGAACTCCTGGACTCATGTGATCCTCCTGCCTTGGCTTCCCAAAGTGCTGGGATTAAGGGCATGAGCCACCATGCCTGTCCCAACAACGCTCTTCTTAGAGCATTTAAGAGGCCATTTCTGCTTGGGAGGAAGAGAAAGATTGCATGAGAGTGAAGGCAAGTCTCCTTAATCAAACCTTTGTTTCTTTCTTTTGCCCTTTGGGATCTCTCAGCCAAGACAGAATGCTTCAGAGTAATGTGTCTATTTTCTGATCCTCAGATGTGTTTGTTGTTTTAGATAGATAGAGATAAGACAAGCTAGACAGTCAATAACAGTTCTGTCTGATAGAAATATAATGTGAGTCATGTATGTAATTTCAACTTTCTAGTAGATTAAAAAGTGAAACAAAACAGGTGAGATTAATTCTAGTAGTGTACTTTAGCACGAGATAACCAACATCTCATTTAAACTGTAATCTGGCGGTGGCTCATGCCTGTAATCCCAGCACTTTTGGATGCTGAAGTGGGTGGATCATTTGAGGTTAGGAGTTTGAGGCCAGCCTGGCCAACATAGCGAAAACCTATCTCCACTAAAAATACAAAAATTAGACAGGCAGTAGTGGTACACGCCTGTAATCCCAGCTACTTGGAAAACTGAGGCAGGAGGATCATTTGATCCTGGAAGGCGGAGGTTGTGGTGAGCTAAGATTGTGCCACTGCACTCCAGTCTGGGTGAGAGAGTGAGACCCTGTCTCAAAAACAAACAAACAAACAAACAAAAACATGTAATCAATACAAAATTTATTAGAGAGATATTTGCATTCTTTGTTTTCTTTGAATATGAAATCTTGTGTATATTTTTTACTTACAGCACATCAACTTTGGATTAACCAAATTTTTTTATTTTTATTTTTAGATGGAGTCTCACTCTGTCGCCCAGGCTGGAATGCAGTGGCGCAATCTTGGCCCACTGCAACCTCCACCTCCCAGGTTCAAGTGATTCTCCTGTGTCAGCCTTCTGAGTAGCTGGGATTACAGGAGCACACCACCACACCCTGCTAATTTTTGTATTTTTAGTAGAGACCGGGTTTTGCCATGTTGGCCAGGCTGGTCATGAACTCCTAACCTCAAATGATCCGCCCGCCTGGGCCTCCCATAGTGCTGGGATTACAGGAATGAGTCAACAAGCCCAGCCGGATTAACCACATTTTGAATGCTCCACCTAGCCACATGTGGCAAGTGGCTGCCATATTGGACAGTGCTTAACTTTCCCTCTACCTCTTTGCATGGCAGTCACTATTCCACTGCAGCCTGGCTATTTTTGCTCTCCTCACCCATTACAACCTTGTAGCTGTCCTCCAAAGAACAGTGCCCTTAGTAACTGTCTCTTCTGTTTTGATCTAGACCTGGCTCCAGTGGCAGGAGATATATCAACACAATATCAAGATGTTCTGAAGGTCTCTTTAGATGACATTTTACTGCATTGACTCCATTCTTTTGTTTTTATCTGTATCAGAGAAATTACAACGGAAACGAGAAATGTTATGAACCAGATGCCGAAAAAGTCCCAGTGGCAAGAATCAGAAGAGGGCACAAAGGTACTCAGAGATCCCCGCTACAAGTATAAGAGAAAATAAAGGCAACAAGAATGGCACAAAAAACACGTGTAAAACTGATGAACGTGGCTTTTTCAAGAAGGATTTGCACATAATCATTAGGCTATGCGACTAATGCCATAGCCTAGGCTGAATGTGCTTGGGAGTTCCTGAGTTATGAAAACAATTATTATATCTTAGAAGTTCTTCTTAGTGTGCTCCTGTGACTGATTGGCATATAGAACACAGAGGTTTCTTTCCTGTTCATGTAACGCTATCTTTATTTTTCTTGCAGTACAATTAAGATGTTGCCGTAATAGACATAATGTCTTCCTCAAATTAATGAGATGCTTCCTTTATGCCCTTGATTAGGCAAGAATCTTTCTTTGGCAAATCATATTTTTTTATGCTGATAAAATAGAAAGCTTCTTTATGATGCCTTTTAAAAATAAATGAAATTATTTTTGAGCATATGACAAGTTTATCATATTTACTCTTGAAGAGTAAATATTTGAAAGTCCCATGAAAGAGATGTTTGAAAGTCAGATAATATCCACTGCACATTAAAATCTACATAGATGAGGCAGAAAAAACTCCACTTAACAATTTTAAAACATTTTCCTCCAGTTTGCACCACACAAAAACCTTTAAGAAACTCCTGGCACTTTACACATGGGTTATAGCTTATATTGCAGTAGGCTTGAGATTAAACTCAGGGCATATATGGGACAAATGTATTTTTCAGAAGGAACTCTAGTTATGCTGAATCCTCATTAATTTCCAACCAATTTCTAGTGTTGACTACATGAGGAAGATTTCTATCAGTGAGAGTCAGAGAAAGTCCCTCCATTGGGAGAGCATGCACAGGCAGCCTTGTAGAAATAAATGAACAGAGTACTTAATGAAGAAAGACTTCAATTTTAACTCCAGCTCGGGCCCTTTCTTTATTTTTTCTGGCTTGCTTTCTTTTTCTTTCTTTCTTTCTTTCTTTCTTTCTTTCTTTCTTTCTTTCTTTCTTTCTTTTTCTTTCTTTCTTTTTCTTTCTTTCTTTCTTTCTGTCTTTTTTCTCTCTCTCCTTTCTTTCTCTTTCTTTCTTTCTTTCTTTCTTTCTTTCTTTCTTTCTTTCTTTCTTTCTTTCTCTTTCTTTCTTTCTTTTTTCTTTCTTTCTTTCTTTCTTTTCTTTCTTTCCTGCTTTCTTTCTTTTCTTTCGAGATGATGTTTTGCTCTTGTTGCTCAAGCTGGAGTGCAGTGGCGTGATCTTGGTTCATGGCAGCCTCCACCTCCCAGGTGCAAGCAATTCTCCTGCCTCAGTCTCCCAAATAGCTGGGATTACAGACATCTGCCACCACATCCGGCTAATTTTTTTTGTATTGTTAGTAGAGACGGAGTTTTACTGTGTTGACCAAGCTGGTCTTGATTTCCTGACCTCAGGTGATCCACTGCCTCAACCTCCCAAAGTACTGGGATTACAGGCATGAGCCTCTGCACCCGGCCCAGCTTGGGTTTTTTCTAGTTATGTGACTTTAGACATGTCCCTTAGCCTCCTTCACCCAAAATGGATAGAATAATAATATCCTGTCTGTCTCAAGGGTGGACTGTGAACCTTTTGGGGACTGGGATCCCCTTTGCTTTGCAGGTCTGGTGCCTCCCACTAGTACTTGAATAGCAGTGACTGGGTCGATCTTTATTGAATAATGTATCAAACAAAATGTTTGATGTAACATTACTTGTAAGCCTCATGATGTTATACTAGTGTAAAATTTTTTAAATATTCTGTTTCTTGCTAAGGTTATACTTCTATGCTGCAAGTTTAAAACTTCAAATAGAGATTTCTTGCTTCTAAGAACTAACTTTCAAGGGAGAAGCATAGAGAAAAATAACATGGTTTTGAAGTTGAGGTTATTTTGTCACCTAAGCCTTTGATAGTGATGGTGTGGAGAGTGATCTGGGGTGAAGAATATAGTTTGTGGTCACATTTCAAAAAGTGGGGCAAAAGTATTTTCTTTCTTTCTTTTTTTTTTATAGGTGTGCTTTTATTTAAAAACTACATGAGAAACAGACTTATTGGAAGAAATGCCTTTTTTTTATTACATCCTCTTAACAACCAAGCTAGTAATCTAGCTCAAGTTGGCAATATGGCCCGCTAAAAGTCCTTGGGGGACATGCACTAATGGGCAGATGAGAGTGACTTGTTGACACCTTCATTGTTTTCATCCTACACTGGACATCAGTCGTTTGGCCCATTTTTCAGAGACCCACTTGAACTGTCTGAACCTATGAACTTCCCGAAAGTCTGGCCACCAAACTGCATTAGGAGAGTCATGGCTGCACAACCGAAGGGCATTCATTTTATTCCCTGCCTTGGTGCAAGGGTCTCCCCAAACCAAGATGGACACATGTACTTCCTTTCAAGAGGCCACAAACAAGAACATTTCATTCCATTCTGAGATAATGATCCTAATTGGTTAAAATCACTTCAGAATTTGCTTGTCTTCTTATTAGTACAGAGACCAGAGTGGAGCTTTATTAAGAAAAATGTGATTTTGATACCCCATTCTCCATGATGTGCTTATTTCACATTGCATGCCTATATCAAAACATTGCATGTACCCCATAAATGTATACACCTACTATGTACCCACAAAAATGAAAAATAAAAAATAGAGAATAAGCTACAAAAATTTTTAAAAAGAAAAATGTTTTTATTTATTTTTATTTATTTATTTTATTTTTTATTTTACTTTAAGTTCTAGGATACATGTGCAGAATGTGCAGATTTGTTACATAGGTATGCATGTGCCATGGTGGTTTGCTGCACCTATCAACCTATCATCTAGGTTTTAAGCCCCGCATGCATTAAGTATTTGTCCTAATGCTCTCCCTCCCCTTGCCTCCCACCCCACTACAGGCCCTGATGTGTGATGTTCCACTCCCTGTGTCCATGTTTTCTCATTGTTCAGCTCCCACTTATGTGGTATTTGGTTTTCTGTTCCTGTGTTAGTTTGCTGAGAATGATGGCTTCCAGCTTCATCCATGTCCCTGCAAAGGACATGAACTCATTATTTTTATAGTTGCATAGTATTCCTTGGTGTATATGTGCCACATTTTCTTTATTCAGTGTTTTTTAAAAAAGGGATAACTATGTGAGGTGTTGGATGTGTTGATTAGCTTGATTGTGTTACTCACATTTCATGATATATATGGGTATCAGATCATAATATTGTACACCTTAAATATATACAATTTTTATTTGCAATCATACCTCAATAGAGCTGAAAAAAATTTAAAAACGTGTTAAAATTCAGACAGGCATCAAGATGAGCTGTGTCTTTATACAGCAAACTCTGCACAGATCACAGACATCAACACTGTGAATGAGCAGACAAGCTTGTTTTCTGTACCTAAAGCCTTGTGAGAGTGGACCCACAGAGAGAGAAGCAATTGGCAGGTTCACTATAAATCTCTCCCATTTGTTGGTTAAAACAGGTTGCCTAAGGACTGCTAGCAGAAATCACCCCAGGTTAGTTTGATTGCCTTATGAACTTGAAATTAATAAAATCACTCTTCAAGAAAATCATTTATAGGACATGTTCATTATTAATGACTATTTCTTGACATAATATAGAATTTATTCAAATTAAAACTTTATTGTGATCTTTTGGTTACAAGATGCGAGAGACATAGGCCAGAGATAAAAACATCATCTTAACCTATGTGTGCATATAGATCTGTTCTACAGAGGTTACCATCAGAGACTTCTCACTGTGTAGACAGAATAGCAATAGCTGCAAGTTAGTGGCTATTTTCTGCCCACTGGAAAATTTCCTTGGAGTTTCATGTGATTGATGATTATGAGGAGGATGATAGTTGCCACATATTGAGTATCAGTATCTCACTAAATGCTTCAATAGCCACCTAGGATGGCAAACTATTTTTCCCATTTTACAGATGAAGAAAGAGGCTTGGGAAATAATTCGCTGTCCAAGATCAATATCTAGGAAATAGTAGAACTGGATTTTGAATCAAGTTAACTCCAAGGCTTGCTACTACCTTGCAGGGATGTCACACCAGTAAGGTTTATTCTTTCTCTGAACTTATAATTAGTATATAATTTAGAGGCAACCACAGTTCTTCATCTTCTAATCCTCATTTTGAAGTGATCTTGAGTTCAACTTGAAACTGATGCTGTATTTACTGCAATACAGAGCACCTGAAACAATGCCTGGCCCACAGCAGATGCGCAAAAAAATTCTTGTTAAATAAATATTCTAGAGGTGACTCATGCTTGTAAACTCAGCACTTTGGGAAGCCAAGGCGAGTGGATTGCTTGAGGCCAGGAGTTCGAGACCGGTCTAGGCAATGTAGTGAGAGCCTTTCTCTACAAAACATTAAAAAAAAATTAGCTGGGCATGATGGTGCATGCCTGTAGTCCCACCTACTTGAGAGGCTGAGGGAGGAGGATTGCTTGAATGCAGGAGGTTAAGGCTGCAGTGAACCGTGATCATGTCACTGCACTGGGCAACAGAGTAAGGCCCTGTCTCAATAAATAAATAAGTAAATAAAAAAGTAAAAAATAGATATTCTAGCTTGTTTTGGGGTAGTTGTCAGCCCCTGGTGGGAAGAAGGCAGATTGGAGACAGCCAAGAACATGTATTAAAATTAAAAGTAAACATTTTTCACTATTTTAAATAATCCATGGCATGGCCTGTTTAAGCAAGGGGGCAAATTGCAAATAGCACTAGGAAAATGTTTATCATAAGCAAAGGAATATACTTAAGAAATGAGCACGGCTGTGTGTTTTCCCATTTGGTGATAGACGAAAATCAGTGTTTAGTCTTCTCATTTAAAATTTACTGAAACGAAAACATAATCCCAGTTAATTACTGTTCCCTAAGGTACCTGGTTGCACAATGTTTTATAAAATTAAAACCTGCTAAGCGTCCATGAAAAAAAAACCACACTTTTGATGCAAAACATTGAAAAAAAAAAAGAAAATAAAGAAGAGAAAAGGAAATAACAGAAGCCCAGTGAGCACCTTTAATTCTTGTCATGTCTGTATGAATAACCTGGGACAAGGGAGCTGATGAGAGTTATGGGCTTTTACAAAATTTCTTAGGACTGATTTCTACCTAAAGAACAAAAGAACAGGAAGATCCAAGGGGCGACACTTGAAGGGGAGCTCATCATCGTGACCTGTCACTTCACTCGTCCTCAGGCCGACTTTAAAATTAGGAGGAGACTGGCCAGATGCCATGGTTCACACCTGTCATTCCAATGCTTTGGGAGGCCAAGGTGGGAGGATTGCCTGAGTCCAGGAGTTTGGGATCAGGCTGGACAACACAGTAAGACCCTATCTCTACAAAATATAAAAAAGTTAGCTGGGTGTGGTTTTGCATCTGTAGTCCCAGCTACTTGGGAGTCTGAGGTGGGAGGATCACTTAAGTCCAGGACATAGAGGCTTCAGTGAGCTGTGACTGTACCACTGTACCTCAGCCTGGGCAAGACAGTGAGATCCTGTCTCAAAAAAAAAAAAAAAAAAAAAAAGAAAGAAATTAGGAAGAGACACCACAGAGTCACAGTTACAATTTCAATCCCAGCAGATAAGGCTTCTAAGTCTTCCTGTTTCAGGGCTATTTCTCCAAGGAGGGAAAATATGAATTTGAGATATATAAGAATTGGGTTATGGATTCTCAAAAGAATGACCTCATAACCCTTGGGAAACCAAACACACAGTTCAGCGTGTATGTCTGCACACCAATCTTTCTTATTTTTGTTCAGTCTAAATGAAGATATACTCATAATGGTTGGGTGTTGTGGCTCACACCTGTAATCTCAGCACTTTGGGAGGCCCAGGTGGGCAGATCGCTTGAGGCCAGGAGTTTGAGACTAGGCTGGCCAACATGGAGAAACCCCCATCTCTACAAAATATACAAAAATCAGCCAGGCATGGTGGCGGGTGCCTGTAGTCCCAGCTACTCGGGAGGCTGAGGCAGGAGAATCATTTGAACCCGGGAGGCAGAGGTTGCAGTGAGCCGAGATCACGCCACTGCACTCCAGCCTGGGCGACAAGAACAAGACTCTGTCTCAAAGAAAAAAAGAAAAAAGGAAACAATGTAAACTCCATCTCAAAAAAAAAAAGTACTCAATGTTGTTAAAGATATTTAAAAAAATAAAAATCCCTTTCATATATACATAATAGGCCATACTCAATTGCCTTATAAACAGGGTCCTCAATGAATAGTTGTGAGGGTATTCGAGTGACACTATTCACCTCCCTGAGCATATATTGGGGAAAAATGAAACCAAAATCCAGCTTCAACTTTCCTGGCAGAGTAAAAACATGAAATAGAGTCCCTAAAGAGACAAACGAAGCGTAAGAAGAGGTCAGTTGTGTTTTCCCTTAAAATCCATGTGACCCTCAGGAAGTTAGTTATTCACTGAACTCCAGTTTCCTTACTTGTAAATATTGAGATAATAATAACCGTACTCTTGAGGGGTCATTAGGGACACAGACCAATCAGAAGTGATATCTGGCCAATTGTACTGGACGTCGGCCAGGACTTTGTACTGGAGCAGACCAGCTGAACATCAACCTTGGATTGGGGATTAAATACAAGTAAAAATGCCTTGTACAGTGTGTAGCTCATAGAAGATTCTCGATAAATGTTAATCATCTCCCATCGCTGAGAAGCTGAGATTGCTGTGATATGTGATAGGAATTATCTACAACTTCCCGTGGGATTCAGAATCAGTTTGAATAGCTATGACAATATTATTCTTAGTCCTGTTAGTTTAGGTTCAGTTGGTCTTAAATGGTTATTCTGAAAACATGTTTATTTCCCTACAGTGCTCATTGGCTTTGAGCATATAGGACAACAAAAGAATGCACAATTCTGAGACTATCCTTCTGTTGAAAGTAGGCAAATGTTTCCCTTCATATTCCTGATCTCCAGATTCATCTGCGGAGAGAATGAAGGTAAAATAGTTCATTTTAGGGGTGAGAATTGTACCAAATTAATAGAGAAGAACATTAAGAAGGGACTGTTTTATTACAACTTTTTTTTTTTTTTTGAGGCAGAGTCTTGCTCTGTTGCCCAGGCTGGAGTGCAGTGGTGCAATCATGGCTCACTGCAGCCTCCAACTCCTGGGCTCAAGTGATCCTCCCTCCTTAGCCTCCAAAGTAGCTAGGACTTCAGGTGCATGCCATCACACCGGACTAATTTTTAAATTTTTTTGTAGAGACTGGGTCTTGTTTTCCCACGCTGGTCTCGAACTCCTGACCTCAAGCCATCCTTCTACCTTGGCCTCCCATACAACTATTTTCTGGACACAATTTTTATGTTGAGTATAGTTGTTGGGCATGACACCGTCAATTCTCTGCTGATTAGTACTGATGGTGTACCTATTTTCCACATTATACAGGATTGGAATCCATACCTATGATAGAACTAGTTTGGGAATATTAGTTCTTCCAGGATGCTATTACATTTTACTTAGTCATCTAAGTCACTTCCTTTCCTTAATCAAAGAAAGCGAATCCATTTGAAGTCAGAATACATTCAATGTTCTGTAATGCTGTTATCAGTCAAGCTATAGTTTTTTAGGAATCAAATTCATGATTTGCTTTCATGAGACGCTGAGATGGGGAGGGAAACTGCAGTGCCATGCCAAGGGGGATGCTGGTAAGGCATCTGACTCTTTTCTATCCAAGAACTCATTTCCTGCCTCTCTTTCTTTTTCTTCTTTTCCTTTGAGACAGAGTCTCGCTCTGTTGCCCAGGCTGGAGTGCAGTGGCGTGATCTTGGCTCACTGCAACCTCTGCCTCCCGGGTTCAAGCAATTCTCATGTCTCAGCCTCCCAAGTAGCTGAGACTACAGGTGTGAGCCACTATGCCTGGCTAATTTTTTTTGTATTTTAAGTAGAGACGAGGTTTCACCATGTTGGCCATGCTGGTCTCGAACTCCTGACCTCAAGTGATCTGTCCACCTCGGCTTCCCAAAGTGCTGTGATTACAGACATGAGTCACTGCACCTAGCCTATTTCTTGCCTTTCAACAGCCCCGATGAAATCCTGCTATTCCCCAATGTTCTATTTAAGTTGTGCCTATTTTTTTTAAAGCTTTAACCTGTTGGTAAAAGTGAGAAATTTAGGTCTTTTCTTTACAAATGCAATATTATTTAAGTTAGAGAAATACACCTGACAAAATCCAGAAAGTAGCTTTACAAATAATTATATAATGTCTAGTCCCAACTAGTTTTGCTGTGGCCTGCCTAGAAGTATCAACCAGGTAGTAAAATTCAGAAAATAATCATTATTATTTTTTAAAAGCTGGCATACATTTTGCTCCTCCAAATAAACAAGTGAGAAATGACTTTCCATGCTATTTTAATCCTTAGCGATAAGCCACTTCAGAGACATGCTCAATCTTTGCACGTTAGGTCACCTTCCAGTGGCCTGGGAGCTGGGACTTGAGGAGCTCTTTTTCTGGTACTGTAATTCTTGCAGAATTCATCTTCAAGGATGTAAAAAGGCCATCTTTTAAATGTTTGTGAAACTCTGATGGAATTGCTGAGAGATGCAATCAGTTACCTTTCTCTCATGACCCTAAAATTCATGTGATCAGTTACTCTAATTTTTGTAGGCACATTGCGCCATTCCTTCTGTGTGTTAAATCATGGATCCTGGCATAAGAACCACTGGGAAAGCTACATCTGATCCAAAGTTGTTGTCAGCAGGTTAGTGCTAACACCTTAAAACCACACACACACACACACACACAAACAAACACACACACACACACACACCCTCCTTTCTTCTTACCTTCCAAATACTGCACAGAGAGAGTCCTTTAATAAATCAGTGTTTTAGGGACATATTCCTTAAAAGCCTTCGTAAGAGCTTTGATTCTGCTTGCTGTGATGATGTGTGAATGGCCTAGACAGAATCAATGGTATCTCATCACAAATCATGCCGTCTCACAAGGGCTTGGTGGTGTAAGCCAAAAGCATTGGTTTTTTATCATCCGCACTGATTGCCATTCTTATAGAAAACTGGGACGGATTACAAACGAGCTAGCAGATATTCCACTGTGGGTCCATGAAGGGATTTCTCTGTGAAGGAGTGTGCACGTTAAGATTTAACAGAAGCCATAGGCTTCCACTGGAGCGGGCGGGATTCACACAAGGTACACAACACTTTGTCAGGCTTGTTAGATGCTGTGATGAGGAAGAACCAAGGATCTAAGCCCCTCACTCTGTATGAAAGATGCCCTGAACAAGCACACGTTTTTGAGACCAACTCATCGGAATTGTCAAATCCAGGGGAAGAGCTCCAAGGTCCTACTCAGATCTGGCCAGCCCATGGATCTCCTGGTTTCCTAAAGTGTCGCAGAGTCAAAGATCAGGGCTGGTGGCTGTTCTCGTGAAATCCTTGGCAAAAGACTCAGGGATGTCCCACAGTCACCTTGTTTATGGATTGCCACTAACGCGGGGGAAATTGACTGCAAGCCGGTTCACTTGGATTCCTGCTCTTGTGTATCAGCCATTGACACAGCTGTTCAGATTCCAGTTCAAAGGTGTTAGAAGGCTGGTGTGGGTCCCTGCTGGAGCAGCCCGCAGTGCTGATGAATCATGCAGGTGCAACATGGTGTCTCCTCCCTCCCAAGCATTTTCTCTTAGGAAATATCTGTGATGACAAACTGTTTACTGTATCCTATTTTCCATCACCTTGAGTTCCTTGCAAGGCCATTTACCTATTAATATAATGCATCTGCCTATTTATCACTATCCATCAGGCTATCTGTTTCCAGAGGGCCCGTCAGATAGCACCTAGGCACTCTGAACGTGTACCCAGCAGGCATGCTAGAACTTGAACTGGGCTGGGAGTCCTACTTCTTGATCTAGTTTTATGGAGAGCAATTAGCAAAAAGGGAACAGGTTTATAGGTAGCACTGAAACTTTAAAATGTTTCATATGCATCATAATCAAGCTCTTAAAAAAAAACAACTCTGGAGGAAGATGATTAAATCTCTCCTCTCTCTTCCTCAGCCTACCTATATTTGAAGTAGGGGAGCTACTCACTCTGGGAACATTAGCTTCCTCTTCTAACGGTTTATGTACTATACCTACCACTGCCCCACTTAACAATTCGTGCTTTTTCCCTCAAAACCTTGGATGTGTGCCGAGTGGAACCATAATGTGATTTTAAGCCATAGCAATGATGCAGTTGCAACCAATATGGCTCTGGATCCAGTCCAACTGCACACATTATGTGTCTTGTGTCTTTTGCAGCTTGTGGCCAGCAGAGGAGAGAGTAGGAGTGAGGGCCAGTCTGGGATAAGACAAACAACAGTGAGGGCCAACTTTTCCAAGCAGGATCCAGCATGTTTGCTGTTAAAAGCATAGGAATTAATTTCACTCATTGTCACCTATGCTAAACCCTCTGGGGGACACATTTGCCATCAAATGAGACAGTACCATCAAGAATTGCCAACTGAAGGTGGCACTTAGAAGAGGTGGTTCCGTAATAGCTGCAGATTCGTCTGTAGCTTAAAATATAATCAGACAGGGTGCAGAGCAACGCTGCTGGTTTAGCTTGCTTGGTTTCACAGGAAGGGCAGCCTCATGTGTCTTCCTCCTTCCCAAGGTCCCTCGTCCACACCTGGATCACACACTCCCTTGCAGAGCTTAATTTCCCCTAACTCTGTACCCTTCCTGATCTCATCCTTTCTTTATGGCTACAATGAGAACACACACGCACCCAGAATTTTTCTTTTTTCCCTTTTTATTTATTTTTATTTTTTAGAGCCGAGGTCTCTCTCTGTTGCCCAAGCTAGAATGCAATTGCACAATCACAGCTCATTGTAGCCTTGAACTCTCAGGCTCAATGGATCCTTTTGCCTCAGCTTCCCAAATAGCTGGGACTATAGACGCATGCTACCATGCCTGGCTAATTTTTAAACTTTTGTTAGAGACAGGGTCTCGCTATGTTGCCCAGGCTGGTCTCAAACTCCTGGCTTCAAGCCATCTTCCTGCCTTAGCCTTCCAAAGTGCTGGGATTACAGGTGTGAGCCACCATGCCTGGCCCCCAGAAATTTTCACAGAGCTCGTTTCCTTGCACTGAATTCCCTTAGCAGCAGCACGGACTTATTCCTCCATTTCCCATTCTTTCATTCCTTCAGCTACCATGTGCCTTTCCTACATACGCCTTTCAGATGAGTCTCAGGTTGTTTCTTGAAATCTTTGGTGTTATCTCCCAGCTACCTGCTAACTAATTTGAAACAGGGGACCACATGGTCTTGGTCTTCCTGGCTTTATTACAATATTTTATTCTAACGGGCTTCAGAAATGTGGCTGATATTAATTTTACTCTCATCTTCTAAAGGCCAACGACACCCAAAATTTCATTTTGTATCTCTTGTCCTCCTTTTGGACTTGAAATTCTGAATGTCTAATGTCCATGGGCCACTGATTATTAAACAAGAATAAGCCCAGAGTTTGCTGGGCTTATGTTCACTGTTATGATCTAGAATCTATTCTGTTTTGAGAAAGCGAAGAACGTAGAAAATGACATTTTTTTTTTTTTTTGGTAATTGAGTGTTAGAAGCCCAAGATGGGTACCTGTAGATTTTCTCCTTCTTGTACTTTAGATTTTCTCCTTCTAAATTATGTCTTAAAATAGTTTAAAAATATTTTTCCCTTGTATGGAATATTTTAGGTTACTCTTCAAAGATCTAAATTTAAAATGTGATCATTCTTCAGTGTTTAAAACCCTTAACATGAAACTGACATAAATCTCTATTTAATTTTATTACAACATTTTGGTAATAGGCTCTAGTATTATATTAATTGAGTTATAATAACTAAGGGAAATTGAGGCAAGAATGGGAGATGCTATTTTATAACACATTAAATCATAGGTCAGGCCTGGTCATATTGGTTCAACTTCTACCACTAAAATGAAATTATTAATTTAGTTTAGAAAATTGCTCCTGTAATTCTGGCAGAGAGATGGACAAGACAGCACAGGCAAGCAGTAATTTTTGACACTTAGGTTAATTTTATTATGTGCTTTATGTATTTTCAATAAAATATATAGGTAATTAAAAATTGAACTGTGGTGCTTTTTTGGATTTATAATAATTAGCACATACATTGGACTTTATAGTTTCAAAAGCTTTATACATCATTAATTAACTATGAATGAGGTAGTGAGTACGATTATACCCATTTTACAGGTGAGCAAACTGAGCCATGGGGTGCTTAAGTCAATTGCCTAAGCGTTCCCAGCATACCAGGGGAGAAGACGGTTGAACTACAGAGCCGGTGACATCAGTCCTGGCGTCTTCTTGCCTTTAGCCATTAATGGTTGTAAGGTACTCAGGAGTAACAGACAAGTGCAGCCACGAACTCCTATCTTGTTTTTTTTTTTTCCATTTTGGGAGGATTCTTGTTAATACTTTAATACGAGAACCTTAAAAGTTCTTAATTATATTGGGCAGCCACATCCCTTGGAGGAAGGTAAAGTAGGTATTATTACTTGTCCTTCACAGGTGAGTAAACGGAAACCCAGAGTGGCAGCCCAAAAGGCCAGTGAACCAGTGACAGATCCTAAATAGGTGGGTACCAGAAGCACCATCCACAAACCCTGACGTTCTGACAGCCACGCTTCCACTACTCGACCTCTGAGGGCCATGAAGCTGGTAAAATGGTATCTAATGACAGCACCAAAAAGAACCCAGCATTTACTTCTTTGACCTTTTCGGAGTGTGTGCATTTAAATTTCAGCACCCTGCAGATCACCATCATGAAGTCTTTCAGAATGCAAAGACAGGCGGAGCATGATGGTTCACCCTTGTAATCCTAGCACTTTGGGAGACTGAGGCAGGTGGATCACTTGAGGTCAGGAGTTCAAGACCAGTCTGGCCAACATGATGAAACCCCATCTCTACTAAAAATACAAAAATTAGCTGGGCATGGTGGTGCACACCTGCAATCCCAGCTACTCAGGAGGCTGAGACAGGAGAATTGCTTGAACCGGGGAGGCAGAGACTGCAGTGAGCTGAGATCAAGCCACTGCACTCCAGCTTGGGTGACAAAGCGAGACTCTGCCTCAAAAAAAAAAAAATGAGCAAAGAGAATCCCAGCCCTCTCCATGATTCTTCCTTTGCCAGGAAGAATGAAGAAATATTCCTCAAAAATACCTTCTATTCACCTATTCACCGTCACCCACCCCACCTTCAAATATCGGAGCTACTGGGTATACTAGTTTTATTTTCTGTCTCTCTCTCTCTTTTTTTTTTTTAGAGACCAGGTCTTTCTATGTTGCCCAGGCTGGTCTTGAACTCCTTGGCTCAAGTGATCTTCCTGCCTCAACCTCTCAAGTAGCTGGGATTACAGGTGTGCATTTCCATGCCTGGCTTTATTCTCTTTTTAAACACAATATATTCAGAAAGTAGTTCATCCTGTGATTCCAGTGCTCAAAAAAGATCAAGAATGAACTTTCATAGAAAACACATTTTCCTATGCTTGCTCTTCTGTGTGTGGTAACCAGATGGGAGCATTAAATGATAGAAAACTCACTGTTCCACAGGCCAATAGTCTCACCTTCCCTTGCTTCTAGGAAATGGTTTTAGGTGCAGGCACAATTCTAGAGAGAACCAAGTTGCCAGCATGGCGATTCCAACCTTGCTTGGAGCAATTAGTTGTATCCATTCCCTGGAGGATGGGGACACAAAAATCTTATAGGAATCAGGGGTTGTAGCCCAAGGCTGACGTTTGTATCAACAGGGGCTGAAGTCCCCCTTTTATTTTAATATTTACAAATAGAAAATGCAGTGCCTTATATGCTGTTTTCTTATGGTGGAGGTAGTCCTTCATCGGATTTAGAGAACCTGGTAATTTTAAAAGTGAAATTGAAAATAGGAAAAGAGCAGGGTCATCAGGCTCAATGGTAATTGTGTGGAAAGGCACTGTGGAAGGCCAGATCTTGGCACTCTGGAATAATTAGGAGGTCATGTTGGCAATAAGGTTTTAATATAATCACCTCGTGAAGACAGGGAGAGCAATTCTTGCCCCTTCACTCTGTTATAAGGCTACGGGGATAAACATCCATATCTCAGCAGATCTAGAGAGTGGGATGATGACACAGAGCAGTGTGAGCTGTGGCTGCACAGAGAGCCAAGGCAGCTACTGCAGGACACACCTGAACTGAACTTGAGCTTAAGAGAGATGTGCCATCCTTAACTTTCTCTTTCACTTTTCTGGAAAGTGCAAGGGCTTGTGTATCTTTCACAGAAGCACGGTTTTGTCCAACCTGGACAGGTTGTTGCACAAACAGCAAGACCCTGGGAGGGACACACATGGTGGTCATGAAGGAGGAAAGCGATACGCTTGCAGCCAGGCACAGAAACGGAACTCTCTGGCGATCAATGGCAGGATACTTATACTCGCTAATGTGCATTTTTTCTCACGAAAAATATTATGTTTGATATTTTCGAAAGATATTGCACTCTCAGTGTCAATTTACTTTATAAGCATAAATCAAACATAACTAAAAGGGCAGGGTGCAGTGGCTTATGCCTGTAATCCCAGGACTTTGGGAGGCAGAGTTGGGAAGATTGCTTGAGTCCAGGAGTTCAAGACCAGCCTGGGCAACATAGAGAGATCCTGTCTCTACAAAAAAAAATTAAAAAGTTAACTGGGCATGGTGGTATGCACCTGTAGTCACAGCTACTTGGGAGGCTAAGGTGGGAGGATCACATGAACCTATTAGGCAGAAGTTACAGTGAGCTGTGATCTAGCCACAGCACTCCAGCCAGGGCAGCAGAGGAAGACCCTGTCTCAAAAAACAAACAAACAATAAGAACAAAACACAAAAGCCCCAAAACCTAAAAATAAAATAATTGGCCAGGCATGGGATTTCACACCTGTGATCACAGCACTTTGGGAGGCCAAGGCAGGCAGATCACTTGAAGTCAGGAGTTCGAGACCAGCCTGGCCAACATGATGAAACCTCGTCTCTACTAAATTACAAAAAAATTAGCTGGGTGTGGTAGTGGACACCTGTAATCTCAACTACCTGGGAGGCTGAGGCAGGAGAATCACTTGAACCTGGGAGACGGAGGTTGCAGTGAGCCGAGATTGCACCATTGCATTCTAGCCTGTGTGACAGAGTGAAACTCTTTTTTTAAAAAAGAAATAATAATAATAAATAAAATTAAAAGTAAACGGTGCTTATGATATGCTTAGTGCTCTATGTACATCAGCTGGCTCAATCCTTACAAGAGCCCTGTGAGGCATGCAGCATTACTGTCTCATTTTTCAGATAAGGAAACTGAGGTCTAGAAAGGTTAGTTGCCCAACATCACATGCCTGCTAAGAGAAAGAGCTTTAACCGGATTCCCAGTTCATTCCATACTGATTCTTTTAATGACTTCACTTGCAAAGGTTGTGGGGAGGATGAAATTAGACAACTCATCTTAACACCATAGTATCTGATACTTAATAAATACTCAATCACTGTGAGTTATAATTTGTAGTCATTGTCAACCACTATGCTTATAATAACCAGTTTCTGTTGAGTTTGCTGCATTGATTAAGGCCAATAATATCATAGGGTCAGGTGATGTCATTTTTTTCTTTAAAATTTTTTTTCATTCATAATTAAAAAAAAATAGAGATAGGTCTTGCTATGTTGCCCAGGCTGGTCTCAAACTCCTGGGCTCAAGTGATTCTCCCGCCTCAGCCTCTCAGAGGGCTAGGATTACAGGTGTGAGCCACCAGTGCCTGGTCTCATTTTCTTTTCTATTTAGAATGAGCCAGGCTGGGTGTTAACCACCCATGTCAGGCTGATGTACCCTTCTCTAATGATTTATGCCATACACACAAGCTGTGATTTCCTTACACCCACAGGCTTGTTCAACCAGTCCCATGCCCACCATCTATCTTGAATCAGCAGCACAGGAAGGAAGCAGGAGATCCTGTCTTGTGCTAACATTTCCAGCTTCTTCACCAAGACTTCCTCTGGCTTCTCTTTGAAAGGTTTTGCTGGTGCAGGTGACAGGGGCAGCATTTGCCACTAAAATGCTGGTGTCCTTCATGCCTAAAGGCAGCCTGTACCAAATGACATAAACAATGCAATCTTAAATTACTCATTTTGGAAATGCATATGTAAACAAACACAGATTTTTAGGCCTCATTTGGGAGACAAGAACATTGGGATTCATGTTCCCTTTGATTTTATCAGTAATTTATCAGATTGAGAAAATTAATGGGATTTATTCAGCAATGGATGAGGAAAGATGCAGCTGGCAGTTCTTTATTCTGGCCTATGCTAAATAAATCATTTCACATCTTTCTGCCTGATTTTTTTTTATTTCTGGAAAGCTAGCCTTCCTTAGGGCATAATTCACAAGACTTATTTTTAATTACTTTGCAGATACGATACAGTAGGATTAAGAAAACCCTGGTTTAGGAATAAGTGAAACAAATACTGTTAAACTTTTGGACTAGTCACGCTTGTGGTCCTTAGTAAGCTGGTAATACTGCCTCTGCTGTCTTTTAGTTTGTAGGATCTTGAGCCCATGGATAGAACACTATAGAAGAAAAATGGCTGTATTCATTGAATAGCATTATTGCAGCTGCTGTTTATTACCTATCAATATCTATTCCCCAAAACTCACATTAGAAGAAGCAGAACTGGAAAAAAAGAATGACTGAATGAATGGTTTCTAGCTGTTATAGATTCTCATTATTTCGAAAAATGCATCTTGATATTTCAGCCAGTTCACTGGCACCTGCTTGTGAAGATACCCTCTGTGGACTGAGAGTTATCTATGGACGCACTTTCTAGATGTTGCTTCAAGAAGATTTCTTCAATGTCAAAGGGGCTTCTAGGACTATATTAGCTCTGCATTAAAGTGGTGGCATTATTTGTATCTTGGGGAGTGGCTATTTTTCAATGACAGACATGCATTTATTTAAGTGAAGAATTAAAAAAAAAACCGCAAGTTTATGGTCATTCTATGGTAATGCGGATTCTGTTATTTGACATGTAGATATAAAACCGTGTGTTTAAAATCCCTTGCATGGCTCCAAAATTCAGGTCTCAGTTGCTACTTGGAAACAGGCTGACTATTCCAAGGAGTCCTAGATTCTAAGGTACAAACTGAGATGAAAACAAATAAAAAAGGATAGAGTGCTAAGAAAAAATGAGGGTGATAGCATGAGGTACTTTCCCCAGCAAAGCACATGTACTTTGCCTCTTCATGTTAGAAATTCTCAATCTGTGCTGTAATTTTGGGATGGTGGCCCATTCTATCATGGGGTCATTTAGTCAACAGTAGCAAAAGGGACTTCACATACATAATAAATAAAGAAAACTTTCTTGAGATGCTCATCATTTACATTAGCTATTTGGAATTGGGTTTAAAATCAAATTCTCTTAGGAGCCTAATAACTACCAGAGAAAGTGATTGAGCATAAGAAGTAGAATTCAAAAACAGCAAAACGGCTGGGCACAGTGGCTCACGCCTGTAATCCCAGCACTTTGGGAGGCTGAGGTGGGTGGATCAGGAGGTCAGGAGTTCAAGACCAGCCTGGCCAAGATAGTGAAACCCCATCTGTACTAAAAATACAAAAATTAGCCCGGCATGGCGGCAGGTGCCTGTAATCCCAGCTATTCAGGAGGCTGAGGCAGAAAACTGCTTGAACCCGGGAGGTGGAGGTTGCAGTGAGCCTAGATTGAGCCACTGCCTCCAGCCTGGGCAGCAGAGTGAGACTCCATCTCAAAAAACAAAAAACAAAAAAACAAAAAGCAACAACAACAAAAAAAACCTCGGAATTTAGAAATACAAACCCATGCATTTGACTGAGCTCCTAAACTCTTTATTTTTTGCAACACTTAGCATCATGTAGCTTGTTTGTTTTTGCTGGATATAAAGGCCTGAGAGTGACTGGGAGGCCATTGAAGATAGATGGAAACGCCTCTCTATGGCATTGGCTGGAGGAAACCATTAAAAAAGTGAAAAGTTAATTGTACTTATTGAAGAGATTGTGCCACGTCAGCATAAGCATTGTCTGTTTTAATGTAGGCCTTGGCCAAGGTCCCATGAACCATTAATTAATATTATGGTTTAGTTGTCAGCAGGTCAACATGGGTGCTAAATTTCATGATTCGTCTGTAAAGTTAAAACATAGACTTAAAATCATGACTGTGAAGTTAAACTATGGATTTAAGATCATGACTGTATCTTTCTTCTGGGCACACATAGCCATCTAGGATACATTGATGTCTAGACTATTTCTCTAACTCTGAACGAATCTAGGTCCCTATAAAGAAGAGTGCTGAGTTTTGGTCTCTCCTTGAACTGTCTGCTTGCTGGGTGTTTTCATTGAGGCTTTCCGAGGCTAGTGTCTTTTAGTTTCTCGTGCTAAATTTACTGTCTCCTACCTTTAAGAGCTGCTTTAAGGCTTGTTTGGACCATCTATGCCAACTCCATTGAGAAATCAGCAGTTTCTTCTCATAAAGTCTTTATGAGTCTCTTGAAATCATCTGGTAGTGGAGAATGTAAAAAGACTTGATGATTTTTCCCCCCAATGGAATTTAAAAGCCAAAGCACCAAAATTACTCTTAAATCAGAATTTACATCCTAAATTATTTCAGAGATACATTTCACTGCCTGGTACAAAACCTGGGCGTAATTTCAGATTTGGGGCAAAGAAGGGTCCACCTCATTAAAATTTACCACTGCAATCTCTATTGTTCCCTCCAGCGCTCCCATTTATGGGGCTGACATCACCCAGAGATGAGGGCGAAGTTTTTGTGGCACTGTTTCAAAAGCTAAACACCTCTCAGTTAGTCACTAAGTTAATAGCAACACAAGAACTGTTAAAGATGCACCAAGCTCACTAGAACTGGAATTACAACAGAGTAACTTCTTGCTGTGCCGAAGGGGGAAAGCTGAACAAACAAGCACTTCCAGCCGGATCAGAAATGGGTAGAACGACATCTGAGACAGCTGAAAGTGGCTTCATGGAAACCCAGATCCAAGGGTGGCTAGTGGCTAGGATGGCGGGTGTTGAAATGTTATCTTGAGGGCTTAACAGATCTCTTCTCTACCCATCACTGGCTTGGTTCAATGTCAAGATGGCATGGGACATTCTTCTTGTACCTGGATTTGACTACTCACAGTTTCCTCTTAATATTCTCCCTTATTTTAATCTGTGCCAATGGCAAAGTTTCAGCCTGGAATCAGGCTGGATACTAAGCAAGAAAAAGTTCAACTTAATTTCAACCCATTCGCTTCCTCTTCTCCGGCTCTGATCACAAACTCCTCTCTCCTTCTATGTAAACTTCTAGTCTTTGTATATCTCTTTAGTCAATTTTGCAAAAAGAAATAAAATACACAGAATAAAACGGCAAAGACCGTCTTTTTTTTTTTTTTTTACTATAAAAACTTCAAAAAGTCATTCTACTTTAGACTGTATATGGGCGTTTTTTCTTCTTCTGAAGCTGTTGCTCTAAAAAATCTGAGAGATGTTTTATGTTTTTGCAGCTGTATGGCTTTAAGACAGGCTCAGAATCATTTATTGGCATTTCTGACCGAACTTCTTGTTTTTATAGGTGTGTAAATGTGTTATCGAAGATATTCTGGCGTTTACCAAAGATTCAAGTTTGTAGGCTTTCACTAAGGAAGACTGCTACTTTTCTCTCTCTCTCTCTTCTGCTTTCTCGAAAGAGAAGAAACGGTGTACTTGACAGGTGTCCTGGTGTTGTGCACTGTCTTCGACTAAATTTATTTTGCTTGAGGTTATTTGCGCTACAAATCTAAAATTCCAGGACTCAAGACAAGATTTTTTCCCCCTTTCCCCTCCCCTCTGGCCATAGCTTGTCAAGCGTTTTATGTGAATGTTACTGTTTCATTTCCATTTCTCCAGAAACATCATTTTTACATCATTTCAGATTTATCTCACCGAACTTTACCAATGATTCCAAAACCTGTCTCTGTATCAGAATTATGTGGGGAAAGATGTTTAAAATCTCCACGTGGGGGCCTAGAAATCTGTATCTGAAACTCTCCCCAGATGCCCATGGTGATGGACGAGTGTGGGAGGCGCCGATGGAGAGGTGTGTGTGCAGGAAGGCAGACAGAAACGGAAAAAGGGGCCTCGTCGTTGCCACCTTGGTAGAAGGCAGGGTCCAATCAATTGTTCTCTTATGTTTGGATTAAACAAACATTTATTGAATACCTACTATGTGCTGGCAGCATGCCAGGCACGAGAATGTTGAAATGAACAAGAGCCAGCTACAACCCTGATGTTCCCCTAGTCTAGCGAGAGGGACTGACGCGGAACAGAGACACTTTCCATTGAACGCGGTTGTGTCAAGACGGAGCTCGAGGCGGGACACTTAGCTGAGCTCTGGGGTTGAGAGAAGGCTCCTGAAGAAGGCACCTAAGGTGAACCTTGACAGGCAGTGATGGCTGCTGTGTGGAGGAGGCTGCAGGAACAGTTCACACAAGTGTGGTCAACCAGGAGGGCAGGGGTGGGGGGTGGGAAGGGGGGGCGGGAGCCGGGAGGCAAGCTGGGTGGGGCGGGGCTATATGGGACAGGGCCGGGCTAGACGAGATGGGGCGGGGCTATGCAGGGTGGGAGGGGCTAGGCTGGGCGGGGCTGAGCAGAGTGGGGCAGGGCTAAGTGGGGAGGGCAGGGCCAGGGCGCAAGGGGCCTTGTTTTCCGAGTTTATCAAACAGAATCAAGGCTGATATTGATATTTCTCATGGGGGGAATGGCACTCACCCCCCCCGCCCCACATTCCCAGAGACCAAGCAATAGACAACTCCAATGTAGGAGAAGAAAAGAAAGAGCGTGCTGCATTAAAGGGGAATTAGTCAGCACACGGCACTTATTTTTATATGAAGCAAGTGTCTCCCACTATTCTTTAGAATGAAGGCTGTGATTATTTCCTGGGCATGACTGGGGATCTATAAGGGCAGAAGGTAAGTCTGGCACGAGGTGATCACTCTCAGTCCAATTTTAGTCAAAGTCTGGCATATAAAAAAACCAAGCACAAATAATTAATATTAATAGTATTATATTCATATGTACTGGTAATGTTTATAATGTTAACAATAGCTAACGTTTAATAATACTTTTTAAGTGCCCGGCAGTATCCTATATACTTTACATGCATCAATTTGTTGAATCATTGCAACATTCTTATGAGGAAACCATTATGATAGAGTAGACAAAGCTACCCATCAAAAGTTGGGTCTCTGTAGTTTTTTTTTTTTTTTTTTAAGAGATGGGTTTTTTTCTCTGTCACCTAGGCTGGAGTGCAGTGGCACAATCTTGGCTCACTGTGGCCTTGAACTCCTGTGCTCAAGCTATCCTTCCACCTTAGCCTCCACAATAGCTGGGACTACAGGCATGCACCACCATGCCTGGCTAATTTTTTTTTTTTTTTTTTTTTTTTTTTGAGACAGAGTCTCACCATGTTGCCCAGGCTGGTCTCGAACTCCTGGGCTCGAGCGATCTTCCTATCTCAGACTTTAAAAGCACTGGGATTACAGGTATGAGCCACTGTGCCAGGCCCACAGCTGTAGGTCCTAACTTCTGGCCTGCCTCCTTTGTGCTATTGTTTTCCTGTAAGATAGCTCTGTCATATTGTTTGGTGCTTGCCTTTGCTGCTTCATGAGGCACAAGCACCTCTAAAGGACAAATTTTCACAGCCTTTATTAGTTGCAAACGTTTATACACTGCTTGGGGTGAATATGGGTCTTTGACTCTCAGAATCCATTTCCATCCCTTTCTGGTGTGTTTTCCTGAACTGCAGAGATTAGGAAGCTGAAGAACACGTTATTTGACTCCCTTGCAGCGAGGGTTCTGGATGCAAATTAGATTTCACTACTCAGGTGATTTGACATGACATTTGGCGATTTTTTCCACCACAGATATGGCGGTGAAGACATGGAGTTTTTCCACTGCCATATTTTGGTATCCATTAGCTGGCTTTGTGGATTCCGAGTGGCATCTGCCTCAGGAGTGGCGGCAGCACCTGATCCAAGCTTCCTGGTCCAGGAGTGGTGCCCGATCCCTGTGGTAATTATTTCTGTGCTATTATTTTCTTTCTAGTTTTAGCACCCAAGTGGGTGTCCCTCATCACCAACCTAAAGTTTAATTTTGCCTGTTTCAAAAGAGTTTTTATATATGTCTTTTAAACAGTATGGCATTTTAAAAACTCATTGAGACAACTTTACATGAACCCAAGGAGAAGAGAGTACCGCTGGTGAACAGACAGGCTCGGGGGATAGTGCTGATGGGTTCGTGCAGCAGGAAAAGCTTAAGCTGGGGTGCAGGATTGAGAGAGGACTTGTGGGGGGGCTCCTATCTGGCAGGAGCAGGGTGTGGGGGAGCTGACCCGGTGCCTTCACCCCATCCCCTCTGCCTTCCCTATCTGCCATCAGTGGGCGATTGAAGGAAGAGGAGACTGTGCTCACCACTGCAAGGACAGGTGCAACAGGAGTCCACTAAAGCCCAGGAAGACGATGGTGATGGGCTCAAAAGCAGCTGTGGACCCTGGGACATCGTGATGTGACACTGGTGCTTCCAGCCTGTCTCGGCCCCTTAACTATCAACCATGGGGCCTTTAACCTGAACGAGGGGAGACTTAGTGGCAGCACTCACCTTTCCTGTTGAAGATCTGAAAACAGAAGGGAAAATGAGAGAAAATCAGGCAAAATGCAAGGAACAAACAAAACACCCACGTAGGTTTTTCTGGTGGGGCTGGCAGCTTGGTGAAAAGTTCAGGGGAATGGGAATGGGAGAGAATATAGGATTTGTAAAAGGGTAGAAAAGGCAAAGTTCTGCTCTTCTGGCCAAGCCTGCTGAGTTTCAATGTTCATTTTATTTTCCCCAAATAATAAAAATAAGTTTCTGGCTGCAGCTGAGTGACAAGGCACAGAAATGGGGTGCTATGAACGTGCGAGGGGGGAAGAAAAGCACCATTCCAAACACCAGGCTCGGATTCTCTTTGTGTGGGCAGAAGGTTTTATTATTATTATTTTATTTCATACATCATTAAAATGCTTTGGCATTTTCCCCAAGTCAGCATGTTTTAAAAAAGTTAATGAGGAAGGAAAACACTAGAGAAAAATAAAATTCTGATTATTTGTAAAAAGGTGCTATGGAAAGCAGGGGCTAAAGATTTCTCCATCATTCTCCCCTCCTTTTTTTTTCAGGGACGCTCTCTGCTGATGGACTTCACTTTTCCTTGGCCATGAGAGCTTTTCAGTGTGTAATTGAAGTCAGAGAATGCCTGTGATTCTAGTCCCCCATCCTTTCTGTGGCCTTGGGCAAGGTGCTTAACCGCTGGGTGCCTCAGTTTCCCCCTCTGTAAAATGGGGATAATCATACTTAATTGCTTCACCATGCTGAGGTAAGGATTAATTAGTTGATGTTTGTAAATGGCTTTGAAGCCAGAAAATGCTACAACAGAGCTGGGCATTATTCTTAATAATACATTTCAACTGAGTTGATAATTGCATTTGCTGTCTCAAATTTCCCTGGCAGTTTCAGCTGATGAACTTATTTTTCAACTTCACTCATTAAAAAGAAATAAAAAGCAGCTCTGCTGGCAGAGAATGGCTCTGGTCTTCATTGCAAGGATGAGCTCAGATTTGCCATGGGTGAGTGTATATCTGCTCCATAGGAATTCAGTAAGAGGCTCTGTAAAATAGCAAATGGGATGCAAGGTTGCCTTTATGGCTAAGCAGCTTTTTTAAAAAGGAAGAAAATGCTCGTCACAAATGTGCAAGGTGAGAATCAAGCAGATCTGGGAGGAAACCACTTTCCAGAATTGATTCAATTCCTATTCTCTGGACCTAACCGCAAAGTGGTTTATCTGTTGTCTGCCGTGAGTTGTTTTTTTCTCTTTGGTCCCCTTTTCTGGCCTCCACCCCTTCCTGTGCTAGGTCACTTCAGGGTGCGTGGTGTGTGTGTCTCAAATCTCATGCAAGATCCATGTCTATCCCCCGCTTCCCTTTGTGTCAACTCAAAGAATCATTTTTGCACAGTTGAGCTCAGACCCGTCGAAATGAGATGAACGTTGCAGTGGGATGATATCACAGCAAAGCCCTTGTTCCATGGCAGGGGTTCAAGAAATATTTGTTTAGTGGAGCCAGGTCTTTGAGACTTCCTGAGTTCCTGATGCTGAACACCTAGTAAAATGATGTCATATAACTGCCTAGGCTAGGAGGTGCAGCTTCAGCAAGGACCGATGCTCCCAACAGGCCTTTGTTTAGATGTGCATTTTGCATAATTTTCCCGAAAGGGGCATCGTACTTTGCTTTTATCTACCCACACTCTCATTTAGTGATTCTTAAAGTGAAGTCTCTAGGCTGACACCAGGGAACAGGCTAAAAATGAAGAATCTCAGACCTCACGTTTGAGAACCATGGGTCTGGTTCAGTCCTCGCTTGATCAATAACAAATTCCGGGGGGCCTGGGCTATGGGCTGCTGTCAGTAGCCACTCGGCTGAATAAGGAAACAAAACAACCCATGCCAGAACTCAGGGCCTTTCGCCCGGGAACATCTTGCCTGGAAAACCTGAATGATCTTCTTGCAATTGGCCTAGAACTGAGGAGGAAGGCTTGGGTGACTCTTTTAGCTGTCTCAGAACTCCTACCTATACTTCCCAACCGTAGGAAGCCTGCCCAACCCATTCCAAGTCCTTTTCTCTGAATTTGTCATCAGCGGTGCCACTCAAATGAATACTTACACTTATCTGGTATATGAGGTTTCTGTAATTTGATGCCAGCATTTACTTCTTGGGTCAGTTGGATGCTCCATGAGGACAGATACCATGTCTTCGTATACATGTATATATTTCGAGACAGAGTCTGGCTGTTTCCCAGGCTGGAGTGATGTGGTGCAATCATCACTCACTGCAGCCTCAACCTCCCAGGCTCAAGCCATCCTCCTGCCTCAGCCTCCTGAGTAGGTGGGACCACAGGTGTGTGACACCATGCCTGGCTAATTTTTAAATTTTTTGTAGAGACAGGGTCCCATTATGTTGCCTGAGCTGGTCTCAAACTCCTGGCCTCAAGCGATCCTCCCACCTCAGCCTCCCAAAGTGCTGGGATTACAGGCGTGAGCCACTGTGCCCCAGCGTGTCTTCATATATTTGATGTCCCACTGTGGTTTTCACAGCAGTGTGTGCTCAGTGGAGTTTTGCAGGTTGATTCCTACAGGACCGTGACCTAGAGACTTCCATCCTTTCCAGATAGAGAGGTGTCCAGCATCCGGATGGGGTCGTGAGCAGGGAAGATAGTTGTGGAGCTTGTCAGTTGTGGGGCTCATCTTTGCTTTAGGTAAGTATTTGGCGTGAACATCAGGCTATCCCCTGCTTGGTGAGAACTTTGTGAAGGCACAACTTTGCAATCATCCAGCAGACTTTGAATTACAAACTTTTTTTTTTCGAATGGCAGCGCTTACGCTATTGGGAGGCACAGGAAAGGTTTCTTGGTGTTTTGAATCCTAATGGCAACTTTGAATCTTAGGTACCCCCAGTTTTATCATATTAATACATTTTATTGGAATTATGCATCAAGTAGTCAATCAACAAAGATGTGTGAAATGTTCCCTATATGCTAGGATTTTCTGAATCTCACTTGCTGGTTAAGGGAAACCCTCAGCTGAAGTCCTCAGTCCCTGACTTTGGAAAAGACTGTGATTTAATTGTGAGAACCCTGGGTTGCCTTCAGCAGATGCTAGAGTTGATTTGAGTAATTCAACTTTGAGTAATTCAGGCCTAAGGGCTTGATACTGCCCTTTGAGAATGATAAATGGTACAACAAGGACAGGACTGGCTCCTTTTAAGCTCAGTATCTCCCATCTGCAGGACTCCAGGGTGCCCTACAATCTTGAACTGATATCCTAGGGATAACAGTAATTAGAGTCTTCAACGTAGTTGGCAACTATTCATTAGCAGCTCTCAGGGAAGGAGAGAGAGAAGAGGAACAAATGACCCAGAATCTTTCCCATTTTGCAGACATGGGAAACCGAGGCAGGAAAAATCAGATGCCTTGCCTAAAACTACATTCTGAAAACTGAACTTAAAACAGAGGTGGCTTACTTTCCCGTAAATTTTGGAGGTCTATGGAAAGACACAACTTTTCACTACGTATCAACGTTTCTCAACCTTCGTACCACTGACACTCTGGACCAGATAATTCTTTGTTGTGTGTGTATGTGTACACTCGTGTGCATGCTGTACTAAGCACTGTAGCATGTTTAGCTCTATCCGTGTCCTTGACCCACTATATGCCAGGAGCACTCCTCCACTCCCATTTGTGACAGCCCAAAACATCTCCGGATATTACCAAATGTCCCCTGAGAGGCAAATTGGTTCAGGTTGTGAACCATTCTTTTATACTGAAGATGTGAAATTAATATTCTGTGTGGTAAGCTGCTTATGGTCCCTCCAATTTACTAAGCATTGACATTGACTGAACAAATAGCAGCATCACTTTTCTGGACATCTGGGTGTGGTGGTGCAAGCCTGCAATCCCAGCTATGTGGAAGGCTGAAGGGGGAGGATCACTTGAGCCCAGGAGTTCGAGACCAGCCTGGGCGACACAGGGACACCACTGTCAAAAAAACCCAACAATCCCCAAACAAAGTTCTTTCTCTGTGAGACGCTGAAGCACACACACAATGGCCAGGAGAATGTTTCAAACAGAAGAGTTGATGGCATCTCCAGTGGTGGTGCTTAGACTTAGGACAGAGAACCATGCACTGTCTGGCTCTCCATTAGAAGGTAGCCCCATGATTTTGGAGACCTGAGTCTATATGACAGGCATCACAAATCTTTGTTGTTTCAGCATGAATCCATGATGTTGACATTGGAGCTTGCTTTGGAACCTGTGTTCTGAGAAGGCAGAACATCCTAGACACTAAGGCTGCCTCCTTCATCTGGGATAAGACCGCATCAGAAAGCCTCATCAGCTCATGAGAGCCGATTTGGATGAGAGCAACTGGGGCTTGTCTGGGGCTAGACTGGGATGGGAGCCGTAGATTATTCAGCGGTGGAAGGAGGCTACTGCTGTAACCACCGTGGGTGGGAAGGACTGTGTGGCCTCCAGGTGGGAGAGTTAGCAGAGATGCAGGTGAGAGGGCCTGCTCCTTGGTGTCACTGGCAAACCCTAAAGCTGGGAGTGTGAGTGGAGTAACTCACCTGCTGCTTGGCATAGAGTGGCATCTTCCCGGTGATCCGGTGTGTGGGCAACAGTCCGCTTTGCAAAGCAGGAGGCTTTCTGATGACGTCAGAAAGACAAGAATCTTCCCCAGGAGGGGGCCTGAGGGTGTCTCTCTCTTCTCTCATGCTATGGGCTCCTGTGATGAGTCTGCAGTCTAGCCTGAACCCACTCCAAAGGCCCCGTTACTCAGTTCAAGGTAAATTCCTGCCAAAGACTGGTTGCTGTGGTGTGCATGGGGGGCGGGTCATGGGCATTTCTGACTCCTGACCTTTATGTTGGGTTTGTCCCTTTTGTTAACTTCACAGAAAGGAGAGGAAGATTTGCTCTCATGCTCTTCTCTTCCCCTGGTGGTGTCATACGAGTCTGAAGCCCTGGTGTTCAAGTGGGTGTGGGGGTGAGGATGGGGAATGCAGAATGAGAGAGATGAGATTTCTCAGCACAGAACAATTCAGAGTGCTAAAACTAGTACCTTTTAAAAAATATGTGTATTAAAAAAACATATATGTATATTTTAAAAAATGTATGTTTTTACGTATGTTTTTAAAAACACGTTTATTTAAAATATATGTGTATATATACATATATTAAAATACATATGTATATGTGTTTTAAAACATATGTATATGTTTTTAAATATATGTTTTAAAATATATATGTGTGTGTATATATAGATAGATATAGATATAGATATAGATATAGATATAGATAGATATAGATATAGTAGAGACTGGGTCTTGCTTTGTTACCCAGGCTGGTCTGAAACTCCTGGCCACAAAGCAATCCTCCTGCCTCAGCCTCCTAAAGTGCTGGGATTACAGGCAGGAGTCACTGCACCCGGCCTAAAGGTGACATCTAATCTGACTTTCCAAAGTCAGCTTAGTGAATACATCACACATTTCCAGTTGGCAGATTTTGACTCTTCAATAATAAGGCAAGAATAACACCTTTTAAAAAAGTGCTTATTAAGATTTAATTGACATGCAATACATTGTACATATTTACATGTACAATCTGATGAGTTTTGACAAACGTGTGCACCCACAATCAAGATAGTGATCATATTCATCCCCCCAAAATTTCCTCTTGCCCCTTTGTAATCTCCCACACTTTCTGTCCTCACCTTTCCACCCACCCTAGCCTCAGGCAGCCAGCAATGATTTTCTGTCACTAGAGATCAGTTTCGGGAGCTTCGTGTCAATAGAGCTGCACAGTATTGTATTTTTTTTTTTTTAATCTGGCTATTTGCACTCAGTGTGATGGTTTGGGGATACATCAGCATGGTGTGCACCAATAGTTTATTCCTTTTGATCGCTAATGGTGTTTCATTGTGTAGATATACCGCTAGTTTTTAATCTATTCTGCTGCTGATTGACATTTGGGTTGTCTCCAGTTTTTGTCTATTATAAATAAAGTCGCTATAAACATTCACTTACAGGTCTTTATATGGACATAGGCTTGCTTTTGGGTAAATATTTTTATTTAGATAAATATCTAAACATGGACTAGGTGGATCAGAAGGTAGGTGTAATTTAACTTTGCAAGAGTTGCCAAACTGCTTTCCAAAGTGAGTGTACCATTTTATATTCAGGAATGGCTTCTGAATCTTTTTTGAGAGGAAAGCATCAGGGAACCTAAGATTGTTGACTGTATACCAGGTAACCAAAAATGCTGGCTGAATCGGTGCAAGTGCCCATATCAACATCTATCTAGGAGTTCCTTCATAGCATCTATTTGTAGCAACTACATCATTTGTCAGGCTTCCTGCTTGTTTCTCATTTCTGCCAGAAGACATGGTCCTGATAATTAGTGAATACTCCTAAAACTTCTCTAGAGTGAGCAATCTCTCCTAGAGAGGCAGATTCGAGAAAAGAAAAATGACCATTTGTTCCTTCTTTGAGATGGAGAAGTGGACCTGATTGACCCTTCAGGCCCAGGTCAGTAAATTGGTTAATCCCCTCAATTCCATATAGAGCATTAGAACTTTGACATCTGAAAAAATAGGCAAATAGAAACTAAAATAGAAGTGTATTTTCCCAAATGGCATGGTGTGAGTCTCTTTATATTCCCAAGTGAGCAGATAATTGCAAAATCTTGATTTTTGTATTGTATAATTCTGGCCTAAAAGTAAAATGCTACCATGCTATTGGTTACGTCTTATTGTTGTTGTTGTTGTCTTTCATTTTCTTTTGTTTTTGAGACAGAGTATTGCTCTGTTGCCCGGGCTGGAGTTCAGTGGTGCGATCTTGGCTCACTGCAACCTCTGCCTCTCGGGCTCAAGCGATTCTCCTGCCTCAGCCCCCAGAGTAGCATGCACCATCATGCCCAGCTAATTTTTGTATTTTTAGTAGAGACAGTGTTTCAGCATGTTGCCCAGGCTGGTCTCAGACTCTTGACCTCAAGTGATCCACCTGCCTTGGCCTCCCAAAGTGCTGGGATTACAGGCGTGAGCCACCACGACCAGCACGTCTTATTGGTTTCTGACGATGTTGGAGTAAAACTAAGTGTCCTAGAAAGTTGAGGAAGGGCACCAGGATTGGGTCTGAATGCAGGACATGAAATCACTGCTTACGAGCCAGCATTTTTGGTGGAGATTCCAGTTGTCACAAGGGCCAAGCAAGGTCATCTTGGAAGAGTGAGCCATGCTAGGGAGGGGGCAGGGGCTCTACCCTTCCATTAATGGAACACTATGGAACATTTATGCCTCCTCGTTTCTCAGGCATAAAGAAGAGAAAAAGGGAAACTCAGCTGTAGTTCTGTGCTTTTCAAGGAAAAGAAGAAAGAGCGAATTCTGCCAACCCTGAACCCACGTTTTGGCTTAGCTCTTGATTCTGAGTGGCACAGGAACCGGATTTTAGATAAAGAAGAGACGTTTCTGTTACCTTGTAAGGCAGGAAATGGTTTTCTGGTCCTGGGATTCCTCTTCTGAGTGTGTGGGTGTCATGATTTCCTGTTTCTTTTTTCTCTCTTTCTTTTTTTCTTTAAGCTTTTACATTTAGAAAATATATTGAATGCCCTAATTTTGTTGCGGTAAATTTCCAATATATAAATCAAAATTAGACTTTATTTTCTGGGTCTTAGACCATTCTGGGTCTGCTTTTTGTTTAGCATGTCAAGTATACGATGCAAAATGCCTTTTTTTTTTTTTCTTGGAGGAGATTAACATTGTCAGGCTGTTCAACTTAGAGGACAGTTGTAACTGGCTGCTAAAATCAACACACAGTTTGACAGCTGTGGTTTTTTCTTTTAAACTAATTCCACAAAAAGAGATGAACGATAGAGATCAAACCATCATATGATGCTGCTGCTGATGGTTTAATATAATTTTCCCAAGAAGCACTGGATTGTGTCCCTTAAAATGCTCTTATCTTGGGTGAGTTAGTGGGAGGGAAGCACTGTTCTGCTCTGGTCCTGTCCTCTTTTTTTTTTTTTTTAAGAGCAAAATAATTGTCACCTAGTTTTGTGTGTAGCAGTGTGGGTTGGGAGATTCGTGGAGGGCCATGGTTCCCATCAGTGCATGGAAGCCTTGTGAAAACACAAATTGCTGGGCCACACCACCGGAGTTTCTGATTTAGTATGTCTGGGGTAGGGCCTGATTATCTGTATTTCCAGGAAGTTCCCAGGTAATATGCTGCTACTGGTCCAGGGATCACCTTTTGAGAATCACTGGTCTAACGTAAAGGCTGTCATACTGGATGTCAGGGTCCTAGGTTCTAGAGTCCTAGGACTGTGAGATTTTAAAACTTGATGATTCCTTGGAGACTGCCTAGTCCAGGGGTTGGCAGGCTAACTTTTTCTGCCAACAGCCAGATAATAAATATTATAGGCTTTGCTGGCCATCTGGTGTCTTTTGCAACTACTCAACTCCACTGTTGTGGTATAAAAGCAGCTGTAGATAGACACATGCAAACAAATGAGCATGGCTGTGTTCCAATAAAACTTTACGTTTCCATAGACAGGCAGCAAGCCAGACATGGCCCATGTAGTTTGCCAACCCTGGTCTAGTCTAAGCTTTCATTTTACAGACGAGGAGATTGATTTTCAGAGAGGTTAGTTGACAATGACAATTACACAGGTGGCTGAATGCATGCCACTTGACTACTAACCAGCTAGTTGACTTGAGGTAAGATGCTTTGCCATACCACCTATAAAATAAGAAGATGTGTTAGTTATCTGTGTTAGTTTTCTAGGGCTGCCATAACAAGATACCACAGACTGGGTGGCTTAAACAATAGAAATGTATTGTCTTACAGTGCAGGAGGCTGGAAGTCCACAATCACGGTGTCAGCAGGGTTGGTTTCTCCTGAGGCCTTCCTCCCTGGCTTGCAGATGGCAGCCCTCTTGCTGTGTCCTCACACGGCCTTATCTCTGCATATACATTCCTAGTGTCTCTTCCTCTTATAAGGACATCAGTAAGATTGGATTAGGGCCCACCATAATGGTCTCATTTTAACTTAACAGCCTCTTTAAAGGCTCTGTCTCCAAATACAGTCCCATTCCAAGAAATACGGGGCGTTAGGTCTTCAACATATGAATTCTTAAGGAGGGAGGTGACACACCATTCAGCCCATAACATTATCTGTTGCTATATAACAAATTACTCCAAAATTTAGTGGCTTTAAACAAGAAAAATTTATTATGTCACAGTTTCTGTGGGTGACAAGTCCAGGAGAAGCTCTGGCTCAAATGCTCCCATGTGCTTGCAGTAAAACTCTTGATCAGGGCTGTGGTATCATCCAAAGGCTCAAGTGGAGAAGGGTCCAGGTTTATCCTCATGGTTCCTGGGAGGCTTCTGTTCCTTGTGGGATGTTGGACTGCAGGTCTCAGGTCCCTATTGGTTGACGATGGGGCCCCCTTCAGTTCCTTACAACCAGGGTCTCTCCCTAGAGCTGCTCAATGGGTCAGCTGTTCCCTTAGAAAGAGGAAGCGAGTGAGATAGGAGGAGCATGTCATTCTGTAACCTAACCTCAGAAGTGATGTTCCACCATTTGTGCCACACATAAGCAAGCCACAAGTCCAGTGTGCACTCCATGGGAGGGGAATACCCAAGGGTATGAATACCAAGCAGCAGGGGTCCCTGGGGGCCACTGAGAGGCTGGCTATGGAAGAAAGCCAGCCACATGATCCAATGCTCCCCATTTTAAAATTCCTCCTTTCTCAACTTCTTTCTAGTCTTTTGCTATCTTGCTTTTTCCTTTATTAGTTTTTTTTTTTGCCTATTTTGTTTAAATTTAGAGAACTTTGGTGTTTTCATAATATCTGAAGGGTCTATGAAACATGGAGAACGTGTCAGGTATAATGTATATTATTTGGGTGATGGTTACACTGAAAGCTCAGGCTTTACTGCTACACAATGTATCTTGTAACAAAACTGCACTTGTACCCCTTAAATCCAGTAGATTGAAGATTTGGCAATTATAGATTCATGGTTTTCACCAATTTGGATATAAATTTAAATGAACTTAAACACATTTCTCTGTAAGTTAGATTATTAGCTAGATCAACTATTTTTAAGTGCAGGCCTTATTTACATGTAAGCAATGCATTTGCTGATCACATATATCCCTATTAAAGCAGATCTCTTTGTATCTATTTGGCAAAACCTCCTTAATCTTGCAGCAATCTCAGTTTTTTTTTTTACATTGATAGCCTTTATTTCTTTAAAAATTCTATTAATCAAACTTTCTGCTTATTTGGAGTAAACTCTGCAGGACTGGCTAGATTTGCATGGTGTGACTGTAGGTGTTTTTTGAAAATAGAACTACAGAAGAAAGTATTCTTGGCTTAGTTCTTGGTAGCTTCCTGATAGAAGAGATCTGTAGAGTCAGCGAATGTGCTTGGTTCTGGAGATCATGCCTGAAGCCATTTATCTAGTCATCATGTGCATAACAGACTTTACTCCATCTCTTAAATGATCTGAAAAATACTTTATTTTTTTTTTTTTTTACTTTTTAAACATAATTGAAAAGCTAATAACTATGGAGTTTTTGCTTTTTATAAGTTTATAGCAGTGGTTCTCAACTAGGGGAGATTTTGTCCCCTGGGGAACATTTGGTAATGTCTGGAGACATTTTGTTTTTCACACCTGGGGTGGAAGGGGGACTGCTACTGGTGTCTAGTGGGTATAGAAGCCAGGGATACACAGGGCAGTTCTCTACAACAAAAAATTACCCAGACCAGAATGTCAATGGTGCTGAGATTGAGAAACCCTGGCCAGAGGAGTACACTCCCAAAGTGGTTTTGGCTGATAGTTGCTACAAGATTGGGGCTCAAATGTCAAATGGGATAATAGTGCCTTAATAGCAGCCTATTTCAGGGCCTTTAAAATGCTCACATGCATATTGTCTCCCTCAGAGATAAGATCTAGTATTAAAGACTCTCAAACATGTTGAATCATGGAGCCTTTTTTTCTGGGGGTTTTTGGGCACCACATATTCTTTATATGAGGCATTCCTTCGAGAATGCTAGCTTGGAGTGCCCACAACAAATGACATACACTCCTGAGTGAGGGAGTCTTGGGGAACTGAAATGTACTTGTATTATAGGAAAAGTTATTGCATTTCCATCCCATTCCCCACTCCCACCAGATATGCTGTAGATAAATGATTATGAGAGTAAAATATGCTGATCATTGAAATTTTGGACAATAGTTGGGAAGAAAATAAAGGCAGCCCATTATTATAGCACTCAAGGAGAATCATTGTTAACATTACGTTATGTTTACATCAGTATCTTTGGTATCTTTTTCTATGTGTGACAGAGTATGATCCAAAGATGGCCCATCAATATATATCCCATCCTACATGCTCTTTTTACAAGATGACTTTAACACTCATCCAATGACAAATCTCTGCTTCCTCCCCTTGAAACTGGGCATGCCTGGGACTCTGGTAGAAGTGATGCTGTGTGACTTATGAGGTTAGATTAGAAAATACATCAGCTCCTTCCTGGCTTTCTCTCTCTTGAATGCATGTCATTCATTATGGCCACCATGTTGTGAGGAACCCCAAGCTAATCTTTACAAAACAACTGCATGGAGAGACCCACATGGACAGGAACCGAGACTCCTAGTCAACCGCCAGCATCCACCACCCAGCTTCTGACTGGGTGAGACTTCAGATGATTCCAGGCCCAGCCTTTGAACTGCCCCAGCTGGCATTGAGTGGAGAAGAGGTTGGTTGTTTCCTCTGAGCCCTGACCAAATTATGGTTTCATGAGCAAAATAAATTTGTTGTGTTGACCCACCACATGTTGGAGAAGTTTGCTATGTGGTATTAGATAACTAGAACACAATATATAAACACTTAGTTTTTACATAATTGGGATCATAAAGTTCTTCCGTAACATTAAATGTCTTTCAAATCTTGATTTTTAATCACAATGTCACCTTTTTTTTTTGTTTACATCAGCTCATGTTGCCAAATATCTAATAGGTCTTAAGGGGTCATGTCATGGACAACCCAGGGTCCTAATATAATTTATAACAGTAGCACATTTTCTTTAAGAACTCCCTTGAAGCTTCAGACAGCTCCCTTGAGCCTTGCACTGCACATTGGGTGGCTTGGCTCCATGAGCTAGCTGACTTCTTCTACTTGTTTTATGTTAATTTGGGCCAAACTCCCAAGATTCTCTGAACAGTAGTCCTTAATGCCCAGAAATGTAAATCGACCTCGATGTTTTATTTGAAGTTGGTTAATTTGACTCTCTCTCTCTCACCTTCACTTTCTGTCATTTAAGAAAAGATAAATTTTGAGCAAGAAAATGAAAAGTCACGTGCTCATGAAACTCATGACAAGATAAATGGTTATGTCAGTGGTAGGCAAATGTGAATTTTAAAGCCGATCTGAAAGAAAGAGAGAAGTTACCTTGCCTAGTTTAAGACATTCTATTTCTTTCTTAATAAGGCCATCAACTTTCAAATCAACAAGGTGTGGTCTGGCGTTATCATTCAAAGAATAAATGCCAGCAACTCCCCTTCGTTTTTGTAAATACTGAAACCTTCAGGGAAGAGCTTTGTTGAGGGTCTATGACATATTCATATGATTATTACTCCTATTCGGTGTTGTTTTGAAGACTGACATAGAGTGAAAGGTTCACTCATTCAGCACACAGAGCTTTTTTAAGTGTCTACTGTCAGGCATTGCTAAACCCTGGATAAAAATGAATCACACATAATTCCTGTCTTCAAGGAGTTAAAGCTTTTTAGGGGATTATGTTTCTCCCAGGGTTCTTACATATTTCCTATCATCTGACAGTTCATTGCATGATTTTCACCAACCAGCTCCAACATTCCCAATTTCTTTTAGGAGACTATGATTTTTCATGTGCATTGTATCTGTTCATATAAAAGCAATTCCATTGTAAATTAGTTTTATACAATTCAAGTAGTATTTACTAATGCTCACCATTAGGGTGTTGGCATCCCTATCTCCTGTTCCACTTAGGAGTATGATAGACGTGAAGGAATAAGGAAATCTAGAACATAGTTCTGGCTTCACTAGTTCCTCACTGTGCCATTTTGGGCAGGTTACTTTGGTCTCTGTTTCCTCATCTGTGTAATGAGGCTGTTGTAAGTAACACTTCCAGCTCAAGATTTTATGTTTTTAGGTCTCGTTTCTAAAAAAAAAAAAATTCACAGTACTAGAAGTACATGAGTAGGTGTGCATGCAACACCTCCCATTACAAACATCAACCTGCTATGAGAATGTCCTTGGATCATTTGGGATGTCAGCTTCTGTACCATGTGAGAATGTTTTCCTGCTGGGCTTTACTCTCTGATTGTAAAGACTGGGATCCTGTGAATGTTGGCTCTTTATGTGGCTGGGAAAGGGCTTCTTATTGACTGCAGAATATGAAGTTATTAACCAGGGAGAGACGCCATGTAGCTGTAAGTAAGTGTACTGTTGAATGTGTTTATGATGGCCAACTCTGATATTAAATCATTCTCAGGTCAAAGTTTTGTTGAGAGGAAAAATAATTACATAATACATATATTACATCTATGTATGTAATACTTATTACATATATGTAATATAATGCATTACATATATAAATATACATATATACATATACAGCTGTGTACATATATACATGTGTAATAATGTATCTCAATGTAGCTTAGTACATAATAATTGCTCAGCTGTATGTATACAGCTGAGTAAAAAAATTGCAGCATCTACATATTGTTATAGATTTTGGCAACAGTTTTTGATCTAACATTTTTGGCATTTAAAAATACATTTAAATCATATGACAATACATTGAATATGGTAGCAGGTAGAATAAGGCTGATAACAGGTAATTTAAATAGTTGACTTATCAGGTATCTGACATTTTCTCTATAACTTTATGAAAAAGAGAAGGATATTCACAAATACACTTACAAAAAAAGATGTTACAGGGAATCTAAACATTGTGTTAGCATATATTACATAGGAGTAATTATTATATACAAAACTCCGTTGAGATATATAATTATATATATGTATATACATATACAGCTGTGTGTATATATATATATATAAATTAAATGGATTAACAAACAACTGCATTATAGTTATTCATTTTTAAACTATCTGTTGAAATACAAAGTGTAACTTATTTGACAAATATTTGTGGAATACCTATTGACACACTGCTGAAAGTCTGTACTCTGCAGTTAATGATCATGATGTGTAGTTTCATCTGAAGTCCAAATCACAGTATGATTCATGGCTGGGGAGTCAGTAAAAATCACTACAGTTTAATCTCTCATATTAAAAGGGTCAAATTTGGGGATTGAGTGTATGGGATGCAGCTTTCTGGTAGCGGTGTCCTGCTTTTTCACAAAGCCAACTCACTGTCTGGACAGCAAAGAATGTCCCCAACCTGCCTTCTATTTCCTTCCCTGTTCCACAGGGAGCACCAAGTTATGAACAGGCCATTGGCTTTTTCAGCCACTGGCATTTTCTTGACTTCAGAATCAAAAATTGGGTGGAATTTGGGGGAATCTATTGCTTTTATATATTTAAAAGATTTCACTATTTTAAAAAAAATTGCAACATCAAAGTAAGGTTATAGATTTTGGAAACAGTTTTGGATCTAACATCTTTGGCATTTACAAAATACATTTAAGTGATACAACAATACACTGAATATGGTACCAGGTAGAATAAGGCTGATATCAAGTGACTTAAGTTGTTCACTCATCATGTATCTGATATTTTCTCCATAACTTCATGAAATGGAGATGAAATGGAGAGAGATATTTTCAAATACACTTATGAAAAAAGATGTTACAAGGAATCTAAACATTGTGTTAGGGTAGGAGCTTTTTACCTGTGATAGCTAATTTTATGTTAACTTGGCTGGGCCACGAGATGCCCAGATATTTGGTCAAACATTATTCTGGGTGTTTTCTGTGAGGGTATTTTTGGATGGGATTAATATTTAAATTGGACTTTAAGTAAAGCAGGCTGCCATCCCTAGTGTGGGGAGGCACTGTCCAATCAGTTGAAGGCCTGAATAGAACAATAAACTGACCGTTTCCCAAGCCAGAGAGGATTCTCCAGCAGATGGCCTTTGAACTTGAACTGGAACCTGGGCTTTCTTGGGTCTGCAGCCTGCCAGCCTTTGGACTGGAATTGGAGCTTTGGCTCTCCTGGGTCTCCAGCCTGTGCTGTATGCTGCAGCTTTCAGACTTGCCAGCCTCCGTAATCATGGGAGCAAATTCCTTATAATAAATCTTTTTACACTCCTATATGAATTATAGTATATTATACATATACTATTGGTTTTGGTTTTCTGGAGAACCCTATTAACTGAATGTGTCTGTCTTCAGTACTCAGGAGATTATTTCTGTGAGTTCCAACACCCCTTGTGCGGAAAATAGAAGAGCAGCAAGAAAACAAGGAATAACAGAGATTAAGGAGATTTTGTCTATAAGGTGGATTGGAGGTTATGGATAGAGTTAAATAAAAAAAAAAGGTCCTAAGACATCCAGCAAAGGCATGTACCTTATAAAGAACAGATAGCATCAACCCAACTTAATTTCATTGAACTATTTTCCTCCTCATGCCGCTTTGTTATTTATAAATCCCTGACCAAAAATATCTCTGTAAGATAAGACCTAAAGACATTCTTATCCCTCCTACTGTGCAAATAGTTTATGCGGCCATCCTCAGCACTTACAATATGGTGGTTACCTGTTGGCCTCAACCTCATGTCTCCAAGTTCCTTGAAGCCAGGGACAAGCACAGTGCTTGTCACTTATAGGGAACTCCATAAATATGTGTTAAATCAACGAATAAATGCATGTAGGTTTTGGCCTCACCAAGCTGTTTTCCAGCTTGAGAATGTTATGAAGGAATTCTGCAAAATCTTTCTTGAGATCACATCAAAATAATTTTGTAAATATGGTACTCCTGTCCATTTACTCAAGATGAATGACATTTGGGAGGCTTAAAAGAGCTTTCGGGTTGCATTTAGTTGATTCTTTGTGAACTGACTATGGGAAAGATGATGGGGATCAGTAAAGGTTTTGAGTGATTATTTTAAGAACTTACAATAAAGGGTTACTTCCCTGATCTCAGAAGCACCACTACATCAGTGCTCTCCCTGAGTTTCAGTATCATTCCAGCCCTGGGTAGATCCACTGATACAGGGGCTAGAGAAGGCAGGCCAGGGCTGTGGCTCTCAGGAGGGATAGGAGTTGGATGTTTGCAGAGGTGGCTTTTTATGTCCTAAAGCCATTAGTTTCATGACACTTTATTATCTCATTCTCAGATTTCATTATTTGTTGACTATATTGTCTTCTAATATAGCCTGATCATTTGCTCACAAGTAAATATATGTATATATATGAGAGTATATATATATATACATATATATATGAGAGTATATATATATACATATATATATGAGAGTATATATATACAGATATATATGAGAGTATATATATACAGATATATATGAGAGTATATATATATGAGAGTATATATATATGAGAGTATATATATGTGTGTGTGTGTGTATATGTATATGGAGAGAGAAAAAGAAAGAAAGAGAGTGAGCAAGTGAGTGAGTGAGACAGAGAGCAATAATGACTAGTCACAGAGGAAACTAACTCTTAGCAACTTGACGTTTCTCATGCCCCACATGAGGAGTTTGCCACATAGGCTGAGAGGGAGTCACATTTAATAGTAATAATTTCCACCTGCTGTCATGGAGTCTCAGATTATGCATACAGGTGGTGGTTTTATTTTTTTCCATCCAAGAATCTTGAGGCACCTTAAGAACATTAATTAGACCCTGGACCTCTTTGAAGTTGAGCCTCTACCCATATACACATGATGAAATGCAGAAGGGGAGAGGCTAATTGAGTAAAATCAGGACCACACAGAATTCCATGAAAGAGCCAGGGAGATGACGGCTTCCCTATCTGAGGCCAAAACAAGGAAACACTGAGAAGAGACGCCTGTTTGCCAGGTGCTTGAAATTCACCTGGAATTTCCACCCCCCCAACCCCATTTCATTTACAAACCATCTTCCCTCTCCCCTCTTTGCTGCAGCACCCTATACAAAGAAAATCTAAATCACCATGTGATAATTACCATCACTCTCAGGGTTTGCTACCCCGCACCTACAGAGCTGAAGCGTTCTCTGAGAACTGCTGTAATGGGTGTACCTGCCTTTCAGTTCTCGGTGAGAGTATGTTTTCTTGTTTAGAACTGTTTCTCTCTCTTTACCCCCTCCTCCTCCCTTCCTTTCCTTCCTTCTTTCTCTCTCTTTCTTTCTTTCTTTCTTTCTTTCTTTCTTTCTTTCTTTCTTTCTTTCTTTCTTTCTTTCTTTCTGTTTCTTTCTTCTTTCCTTCCTTCCTTTCTTCTTTCTTTCTTTCTTTCTTTCTTTCTGTCTTTCTTTCTTCCTTTCTTCCTTTCTTCTTTTTTTTTGAATGGAGATCTACCAGTAATCTTCCCACAATTAAATCCAGGTAGGAGAATATAAAGTTCACGAAAATGACTCAAGGCAAGGGTTGCAGCTCCCACCCACTCAAATTGTACAAAGCTTAGTCACTCTGAGAAAGTAAAAATACTAGTATCTGGGTGAAGAAAGGGAGAAATGGAGGGTTTAGGGGCAAGAAACCCCAGTGAGCATGAGGGACAGACAACTCAATAGAAATACAATGTTTTCTATGCTTGAATTTCTATTGAACTTTTCAGTCATGTCTCTTTTCTCCATACCATTCTGATAAGGTCATTAAAGAAGGAACATGGGAAGAAAATCTCTCTCTATCAGCCTGGCCATTTCTTACAGCTCCTTTTGGGAGGATTTTTTTTTTTTTCGCCTTAACAAGAAGCTGTTCAAAGGATGCTCTTGGAGGTATTAGTGAGAAACATGGATTGATCTCTGACAGAGATGGACAGAGCTATCCACAAATGATAGGAGACTCAATAAGTAATGGTTGGAAGACATTAATCAAGGGCACAGCCTCCTGGACATGCAGAAGGAAATGCTATGGTTTTGCATGTGTGGAAGCACCGAAAGCCTAGGACAGTTCTCTCCAGGATGCTGTAAGAGACAGTGGTTGGATGAAACGCCAAGCTGCAGCAGATCATTTTTAGAATGAGGAAGCATTTACATGCATAAATAATGGGAAGGAAAAATGGAAGAAAGCAGACTAGATTGAGGACAAAGACATAGAATAATTTTTTTTTTGTTTTAATAGAGCAAGAGAAAGAGGCAGTGTAAGCAGATGAAAAGCTTTCCTTCTTAAAGAACAGCTCCCAGTGGTGCAGGTATCTGGCAAAGGCCTAATAATGTGTTTATTTGTAGACTGATTTCGATGAGAGGAACCAACAAAGACCCTAAAATATATCAGGCTCAGACATGGTAGATCATTTAGCACTCCTTTTGCCCTGTGTGGAATCTTCCTTCCTTCTGGGAGTTTAAAGCTGCCTCCCTTAGTGAGAGGTAGCCTCTCCTGGGCTCCAGGCCTCCAGTTCTTTGCACACAAAGACAAGCACAGCTGCCCAGCAGCCACACAACTGCCAGGCTGCTTAGGGAGGGACAGAATGCCATTCTGTCTGAAGGTGGGTGAAATTGCTGCCAATTTCCTCTAAGTTTGCCCTGTCTTTCAAAATTCCAAATAACAGCACACAAACAATCCCAGGCCCTCCTGGCTGCCATCCCTTTCTGGAGTAATTAGTTGAAATGCACATGATGTTCTCACCTCATTCTGAGTTTCCATGGAGTCGCCACCGTCTCCCTTAACCAGAACCTGCCATGAGCTGCTTGCAAGGGACCTGGTTCCTGGCTTTCTGAGGGAGGGAGTTTGACTGTCCTGGCAAGCATACGGAGGACTGGAGAGGTCATTGGTTCCCAGCCTGGATCTGCCAAAGGCTTTGACCTGATCAAGCCTCTCTGGGTGCTCTTAGTCTTCTTAGTTATAAAAGGAAAACATCTTTGGTTCCTCTTTATGGGGATGACTCTAGGAGTGGTGGCTTGCAGTAAGAGGGGAAAAAGAAAAGCATACATGTGGAGAGCCTGAATGTTCTGCAGAGGGACTTGGAGTTAATTTAACAAACAGTAGGAAGCTCTTATGACTTTGGGACAGAAATATGACACCATGAAAGCAAAACTGATTAGGTGAGAGGGTGGCCAGGGGAAATCAGTAACCAGGACTGGAGACAAGGTGGCTGGCTAGGATGCTGCTGTGATATTCCAAGTTATGTGGTCATGAAGGCTGGATTTTGGTTACAGATCTGGGAATGGAAGACAAGTAGTTATCAGAAGTTGGGCCAACAATAGTGTAGACTGGTGTTTTCAGAGTGTTTTCATCCCTTGAGCCCTTCCAGACCTGCTGACTCAGAAGCACTAGAGCCCAGCAGTCTGTTTTCATAAGCCCTCCTGACGATTCTAGTGCAGGCTAAAGCTTGAGAACCCCTGTTGTATACCACTGGGCAGATCATCAACAGGGGTGCAGAGACTTGGATTCTACTTCACATTCCAAATAAATAGTTGAATGGAATGAAAGATATCACTTAACCTTTTTTTCTCCGTCCCCTAGGCTGCAGTGCAGTGGCACAGTCTTGGCTTACTGCATCCTTGACCTCCTGGGTTCAAGAGATCCTCTCACCGTAGCCTCTAGAGTAGCTGGGATTGAAAGGCATACACCACCGCACCCATCTAATTTTTTATATTTTTGATAGAGATGGGGTTTCACCATGTTGCCCAGGTTGGTCCCAAATTCCTCAGCTCAAGCGATCCGTTTGCCTTGGCCTCCCAAAGTGCTGGGATTACAGGTGTGAGCCACTGTGCCCAGTCTCACTCAACAGTTAGGGGTCTCAGTTTCTTATCTATCTTTCATATATAGCTCTAAAATATTGTGCATCAGTTAGGAGTTGTGTTTTTGTTGCATATAAAAGAAAACCCCAAATAACAGTATCTTAAACACTGCAGGCATTATTCTCTCACACAGGAGAAGCCTAGAGTTGGGTGATCCAGGGCTGCTAGTCTGGCAGCTCCCGCATTGTCAGGGACCCACGCTCCTTTTGTCTTTCTGCTCTGCCAACCTCAGCACTGGTGTTGCAGCTTTCTATCACTGCTATAGCAAAGGACCACATATTTACTGGACTAAGACAACAGAAATTTACTGGTGGTCCAGTTCCTGAATTCAGGACTCTGAAATGGTTCTTGTGGGGCTGCAATTGATGGCTCTGCCTTCCTTTTCCATTTCCTTGCCTTTTGCAGCTTCTAGGGCTGCCTGCACTCCTTGGCTTGTGGCTCCATTTCTCCATCTTCATAGCCAGCCATGTGGGGTCCTTCTCACTCTGCCATCTCTCTGGGTTTTTTTTCCGTCTCACTCTTCCCTTTTTAAGGACTCTTGTGATCAATTTGGGCTCACCTGGATAATCCATGGTCATCTCCCAATCTTCAGGTCGGCTGATTAGTAACATTTATTCCATCTGCAAACTTGACTTCTCTTTGCTGCATAGTGTGACTTACAGGTTGCAGGGATTTGGGTGTGGGCATCTTTGCAAGGAATCGGAGGGTGTTTTCCTGCCTCCCATCCTCAGGGCTAACTCATGGTCCTTCCTAGTGCCTGCAGTTCCTGCTGTCACATCAGATTGCCAGGTGGCATACAAGTAGAAGTGAGGAGGATGAGGGTGCACCTGCCAGCTAAGTTAGTGCCCACAGCACTTTCCTGCTAGCCTCTCCTGGGCCGGGACCGAGTTACTTGACCACATCTAGCTGCAAAAGAGACTGAGAAGTGTGCACCTACTTCCTGGTGATAAAGTGCTCAGCTAAGATTAAGATTCTGTTCCTGTGGAAGAAGGGAGAATGGCTCTTGGGTAGGCAGCCAGCAGCCTCTGCCACAGACAGGCAGAGACAGGGCCTTGATGTTCTCCAAACTCTTTCATCCCCAACAATCCCATGACTCTCTAGAACTAAGGTGTAGGACCGAATGGGAGTTTTAATTTGAGATAAATGAATAACTAGAGCAGAGGGAAGAAGGAAGTCTTTGTTTTCCACTTTCTTTTTTTCTTCTGGGGTGATTGGGTTCATTTATGTATTATCGAGCATCTTTTTTTTTTTTTTTTTGAGAGAGGGTATTGCTGTGTCCCCTAGGCTGATGTGCATGTGGCATGATCACTGCTCACTGCAGCCTCAACTTCCTGGACTCAAGTGATCCTCCCACACTAGCCTCCCAAGTAGCTGGGACTACAAGCATACACCAGGCTAATTTTCAAATTTCTTGTACAGACAGGGTCTCGCTATGTTGTCCAGGCTAGTCTTGAAGTCCTGGGCTCGAGCGATCCTCCCGCCTTGGCCTCCCAAAGCACTGGGATTACAGGCGTGAGCCACCATGCCTGGTCTTGTTGAGCACCTTAAAAGAAGCAGACACATTACACACGTTTGTCTTTACACAGGCACCATGTCAAAAGGGGCTTTTTGGTGGTTCATTCTGCTTTTAGCCCTACCCAAAAACATTTCATTATTGAGAAAATGAATTGTCATTTCTATTTGCAGCTACAGATTAAGGCTAGAGACTCTCCTAGGGAGCGTGTTATTCCTGGCTTTGCACAGGTATAGCTGTAGCTGTGACAGTGCTCTATCCTCGCAACCAGAACATACTTAGAAGATTAACACGCCATCCTTCAAGAAGCATCTTCTGTAAGATAGGGACCTTGTTTGGTTCAATGAACATTGGTACAGACCCCAGCACAGAAGAGAAGCAGGTTTGCAATACTTTTCCTAAAACAAAACAAAACAAAACAAAATGAATCAATGAATGTTAAATAGCAATCCACGGATCTATTATCTTTATGTGTCTTTCATTTTGAACTATTCAAAGCTCTTCTATAAGCCTCGTTTATAATTTAGCTGAGCGCTTTCTCTACCTATTTTCTGACCGTATCTGTGGATTTGTGGGCAGACACTCTATTTTGGAAGATATTTACACTGTCAATATACTTTCCATTTGACACTGCCTACCTTCTTCCTTGCATCCTTATGGTTCAGCTGGAGGAGGGAACCAAGTTTTATGGACACAGTGGGGACATGGGCTGCTGTGGGCAGTGATTCTGCCAGTTCTTTCTGTGTTTTGCTTTCTTAAAGTGGGGGAGTCCCGCCCGCTGTGACGGCTCCTAGAGCCAGTGGTCTGTTCATTAGAGAAGTGGCTGAACTTCATGATGGGAGTGTAGTAGACAGGTCGCGAAGGGGGCCCTTCCACAGGAACAGTCTAATATAAACAATAATAACCATAATAATAATCTGGGCTTTCACGGGAGCTTTCATCGAGGAACCAAAAACATATTATGAACATTGACTCATTAATCTTCACAACGCCCCTGTGAGGGTGAATTAAGTGTAAGTCATCATAATTATTACTGTCATTATCCTACAAACAATTCCCAGATGTGCTGTGGCTGAACTGGCATACTTTGGGGATTTTATGTTTTACAGGGACCCTGGACTTTTGGCAGGAGTTCACATCTCTCTTTTTTTCCTGCTTCCTTGCTCACTCTATCTTACTGAAAAAATATGGAATTTTTTTTGGTGTGTGAGGATTTGGATGACATGAATGGGAAGTAATTTCCAATGCATGGCGATCCCCTCTTCTCTGCTTTTGCCTGCTGGAAAGGTTAGATATTCTGCACCAGATCCAGACCCAGGCCCCTGGAACCGATCACAGGTTTTGCTTAAAAGCAAAATCATACATTTACAAACCACGTATGATGTTTATGACTTCAGCCTTGTCTCTTCAGGTGAGGGCTTGGGAAGTTTCATTCTACATGTAGCATCGTGTTCACTCTGATACCATTTAAATTAGTACAATGTCCTCAGCACCAAGCGTCAGAGACCTCCGCGCAATTGGCAGCATCTTCTGCGTGTAGCTACAGGTCCCTGAGAGAGACCGGCGCGCCTCTCCCACAGGGGCGATCCTCCCTCCGCACCCTTGCGACCACCTCGGTGCCCTGTTCTTGGGAAAACAGGTTGCCTCGGAGTTCCAGAAGAATCACAAGGAAAATCAACTGCAGAGAAAGATCACTCAGTTATTTAAGAGTGAAGACGGTAAATCCGCAGATGAGAAGTGCCAAAGTGTTGGATGTACATATAGTTTTGTATCTTCTGTGTGCTTTTAAAAATGTGCATTATTTTATGATTATACAAGCAGTGTGCATGACAGGAAACCCAGAAAACATTGGAAAGTATGAAGAAAAAAATAAAAGTCACCCATAGACCAGTACTAGGATTTACGTATGGTAACATTTTCGTGTATTTCTTTCGATACTTTTGGTATTGATGTTCAAGTTTATATTACAAAATTTGGGTTCTGTATGAATTTTGATATTGGTAAATAGATGAGGACATGCACACTGGGAAATGGGAGAGGGAAAGAAGGCTGTGAGGAAATAGGGAAGGACAAAGAATCGTGCAGAATCTCCGAGTGCTGGGAGGGCACAAGGATCAGAAGCCTCACGTAATGCCTGGCAGATAGTAGATGACCTAGAAATGCTTGCTTAGGAAATCACGGAAGAAACCAGCTGCTGGCAAATCAGGCAGGAAGGGCTTCTGTAGCAACCCTAGTAGCTCCTGTGAATTCACCAGGAGCTTCCCGCATGCTATTTTTCATCCCATAACAACCTGCCTAAGCGGGTATTGATGCCTACAGTTGATGGGAGAGGAAGCTGAAACTCGGGGATGTGAAACTGACTTTGCCAAGATCACACGTCTATGAAGCAGCAGAGCTGGAACTCAAATTTGAGCTGGTTTTGCCTCTAAATCCCATGCTTTCTTTCCCACTCCCCTGAAATTCCACAGAGCCTTTCCACAGTTACCCACTCCACGAGGAAGCTGTGAAGGATGAGAAGTAAGACAGGGCTTTAGGGCTTATTCATTAGATGGTCACTGGGTGGGAAATTTCTGCAGGTTAGAAGGCAGAGGCTGGCCTGGTGGTGTTAAAGAGGGAATCAATGGGAGCAAGAGTGGAGCATGTCAGGAAGACGGGCATCAAAGAACAGTACGTGACGGAAGAGTTCAGGGGTTCATAATTGTTGCAGCAGAAAGCTGTTTTGAAGGAAATGTGTGCATATTAATAAGCTTATCATTTTCATAGATTAAAAAGCGAGTAGAGAAGGAGTGAATGAGACAGAAGAGAGAGAAGAGGGTGTATTGATGGAATTAAGTCTTGGCGAGGATGTGAGGGCAAGCCTGCGTGGAGAAAGGATGAGATGACTCACTCATTCAGAAAATACACACAGTCCTCACCTTCTGGAAAACATTAAGCCCGAGGCTTCAGAGAAAAGGGAGCACTTACACACTGCTGGTGGGAGTGGAAGTTAGATCAGCCAGTGTGGAAAGCACTGTGGAAATTTCTCAAAGAACTTTAAATACAACTACAATTCAACCCAGCAATCCCATTCCTGGGTGTATACCCCAAGGAAAATAAATCGTTCTGCTGAAAAGACACTCATATGTTCATCACAACACTATTCACAATAGCAGAGACATGGAATCCACCCAGGTGCCCATCAGCAGTGGATTGGAGAAAGAAAATGTGGTACATATACACCACGGAATACTATGCAACCATAAAGAAGAATGAAATGTCCTTTGCAGCAACATGGATGCAGCTTAGCCATTATCCAAGGCAAATTAACACAAGAACAGAAAACCAAATACCACATGTTCTCACTTATAAGTGGGAGCTAAACATTGGGTACTCATGGACGTAAAGATGGGAACAACTAGACTACTAGAGCGGGGAGAGAGGGAGGGAAGGCAGCAGAAGCTGAAAAGCTACCTACTGGGTACTATGCTCACTGCCTGGGTGGTGGAATCATTCATAGCCCAAAGCTCACCATCATACAATAAACCCATATAACAAAGCTGCATGTGTACTCCTTGAATTTAAAATAAATATTGAAATTATATACATATATACACACATACATGTATATATGTATATGCATGAGTATATATAAATATATATAAATTTTTATATAAATATATAAATATATATATATAAATTATGTGTATATACACACATACATATGTATATATGTATGTGTGTGTGTGTATATATATATATATATATATATAAAATTCAGACCAGTAAAAAAAGAGAATATGTTATAAAAACAAGTTAATGGCACTGCCAAGACAGAACAGTCTCCTTGAAGTTCTTTGCAATAATTAAATAAATAACAACACGCCAGAAAAAGTTAAAAATGACACCACCACCCACTCTGAGCCCTCTGAAATTAGACTGAGGAGAGGATCTAGATGAAGCCAGAGATGTTTTGAGGGGAAACGGCCAAGGTCGAGTTAGAGGCATAGTCATTCTTTAAAATGTGGTGGAGCTGAGCTAGGAAATGGGATTTAGGGAGAGTAGCAAAGGCTAGGAAAGTCCGTCTGTGAGAGTAAGACAGGAAGTCTAGAAGAGATTGGTTGTGGGGGACTTGCTGAAGAACAGTGAGACCTTCATCAAACATAAAATGTACGGAGCCAGTGCTCGGGAGCTTCATGCTGAGATTTCTTTAGTATAATTTTGTGGCTTGAGATGCACATGTGACTGAAGAAATTGGTAGTGGGATAACTAAGAATTGGAGGTTGGCTTGGAGGCCTTGGTTGAGTCAAGGGAGCAAGGAACTCCAGGCTTAGCTGTGGCTGACAGCAGCTTTCTGGCCAGTGGGGCAGACAAGTACAGCCAGAGACAACTGGTGTATGATAGAAAAGGGAGAAAGGCTCACGCCTGTAATCCCAACACTTTGGAAGGCCGAGGCAGTTGGATCACCTGAGGCTGGGAGTTCGAGACCAGCCTTGCCAACATGGAGATATGCTGTCTCTACTAAGAATACAAAAATTAGCCAGGCCTGGTGGCGCATGCCTGTAATCCCAGCTGCTCGGGAGGCTGAGGGAGAAGAATCGCTTGAACCTAGGAGGCAGAAGTTGCAGTGAGCCGAGATTGCGCCATTGCACTCCAGTCTGGGCAACAAGAGCAAAATTTCATTAAAAAAAAAAAAGGAAACAAAGGAGTTGGGACCAGCCCAAGGGAACAGAGAGCAGGTGCAATGACTATGAGGCAGAAGAAGGGATGGAAGAGAAGGAGATTTGGTTCCACGTGGGGTGCTCTGAGATCAGTCTCTTGGAAGTGGGATGGTTTCAGACGACAGAGACCCAAGCTGTGCCTATATCGGTGGGTGACTAAACTGACACAGTTGAAAGCCCTGAGGTCGAGGAGATGGAAGGACCAGCTTCTCGGTGCCATGCTTTTCATCTGTGACACTAAGACAGATGAGTGCCTGCTAGAGAAGGACACTGACGTTTTGCTCCAGTGGTTGGTGGATGTCAGGAAAAAGAATATGCCTTGATTTTCATTTTCTGGAATTGGATATCACATGCGATGTGTTTATTGAAGTTTGGAAATACTCAGCTTTGAACCTGGGATGGACCCTGTTTAGGCTTGGGAAGGCTGAACTCAATAAACATAAAGAGGCAGAGCTGCAGTGCCGTTGAACTCTGTAGGTGGCACGCGCCTGGCACTGTCTACCTCTTGGCTTTCACAGCACACCTTCCTCCAGGGGCTCACTCAACTCTGGCAATACTGGCTTTAGTTCCTTGAATACACTAAGCTTGTTCCTGCCACAGGAACTTGGAATTTACCATTCTTACTTTGGGGATACTCTTCCTCCAGGGCCTCCCATGGCTTTCAGTTCCCATGGCTGACTCCTTCCCATTATCGGGGTCTTGCCTTTAAAGGCCGCTTCCTCAGATAAGTCGCCCCTGCACAGTCTATCTGGAGCAGCTTCCCTCCTCTCTGGTCACTTTCTAGTACAAGACCCGGTTCGATTTCCTTCTTGGAATGTGTTGCACCCTTTACTTACTGTTATTGCTATTTTACTTACTGTTATTAACATTTTACTTATGTGTTTTGTGTTGTCTGTCTCTCCCCATTTGCTAGCTCTGTAAGGGTAGGGACCCTGACTATGTTGTCCTTCCCTCTAGCCTCAGAATCTAGAACGGTGCCTGACACGTAGTAGATGTTCAATAAAAATTGTTATATGGGAATGGAGAGAAGGCACAAAAAGATGAAGTGCTGAGAGAGATGTAGAAATAGATCTCTGAAGATATCAGCCAACACTGCAAGGCAGGAAAATATAGTAAGAGAAGATGTAACTCAAGGACTTGATTATGAAATATTAATTTCAGCATCAGAGGGTAGAGGCTAGATCCCATTTTAAGGGAGAAAAATGAAAGTCATGAAGGCACAATATATTTTTGGAGCTTGTCTGTACAGCCCAAAGAAAGACGAAACATTGCAAATATGAATTGGAGCCAGGGAAGGTAAATTTAGGATTGGATTTTAAAAAATGCTTCTGAAAGCTAGGAATGGCAGCATAATACCAACAGCAAAATACAAAGGAGGCATGGAAAAAAGATAACAGAGATCACTAAAGAAGGCACTCAATGGAAATTGTATAAAATTGTATAAAATTATACAGCTAGTGCTTTAGATGTTCACAGCTTTGAGGGAGCGACAGGGAATGGAGTGAAGGTGATGGGTTGGTCAGGAGAGAAGCTAGGGAGGGGTGAGAACTCTCACCATAAAGTGCCAACCTTCTCTTTGAAGGTATTGACAAGATCTTGAGTAAAGATGGAGAAGAAGCGATGTGGATAAGAAGGACTTTCCAGGTCTAACGCAGAAAGAGTCATCCTGGGTTGTAGGCGTAGAATTCAATCAGATAGGCTATTTAGCAAGGAGAATGGCAGAATTAAAGAGAGAAATTCATTGAGGTTTGGTAATTATAGTACAAACAGGAGAAGATAAATATCTTCTCCATAGATTACATCATTGTTAAATCTCAATAATTTTAAATATAATTAACCTTTAATAACGCCTTGGATTTAATAATATAGCTATTGCATGGGAATTGTCCACAAACCATTATAAATCTATTTGTTTAGGTTTAACCAACCAAGTAATAAAGTCTGTGTGTAGCTTAGGCCGGCAGTGTGCTTATTAAGTGTCTCACTCAATGTAATTGATTGTAAAATCCACCTAAAATCACACCAAATAAAGAGTATTTTACAAGTTAATTGAAATGAAATTTTTCCTTTCAGCTATTATTTCCTGATTTTTCTCCTTCTTCCCTCTAAATGTCTACCCTGGGGACTCCCCCCACCGCCCACTTCTACTATATCAGGAATTATAAAATGTTATCTGTTTTAGTAATCTTGTTTTCACTCTAGAACCCAAGACACTGGTTTACAATTAATGAGTGAGACAAAAATTGTTCATCTTAAGGGAAAAGCTCATTTTCCCTGTATCTACCTTTTTTTTTTTCCGGAGGGGATGGAGAGAAGAGGGCTCCTCAAATATCAAAATAAGTCATGTCCTGAATATATGTTTGAACCAAACACCTGCCAACTGCAAAAAGCATATTTAGATGTCAGTATAGGTAGATTTACTCTCTGTTGCCAATTATTATGTCTTAACAAAACAAGACAAAACATCTTTTTCCCCTTTGGATAAAAATATTTCCACATTGCACAAATAAAATGCCCAAGCTGAGAGATCTTTAAAGATTGAAAAAAAAGAGGAAAAGAGCATTGGAAGATATCTTTAAGTGATAATGTGCTGATTTCTCTTCAGAAGGCTTTGGTACATTATTACAAGCATTGAACTTAAAGACTGAAAAATAAAACCTACTCTGAAGGGCTTGGATGAAATGACCAGAATTATCTTCTTACTTTAGTGTCATGGAAGGGGCTTCAGTTCTGGAAACGACAAAAATGAAGTTTATGTCAATGCCAAATTTTTTATTTTATTAAAGCTATAAGAGTTTGCACTTGCCCAAATTTCAATGCTGCATTTTTTATTTTAATAAAGTTGTTTAAGAGTTTGCACTTGCCCAAATTTCAGAAATGGCACAGGGAATCGATTCTTTAGAAACTGCATTCTAAATGTACATGTTAGTGGTCCCCTTGGACTCTTGTATTATCATTAGATATTTAGTAATTAGATAGATTATTAATAATAATTGCATTGTTATATATTTATCTAATCATAGTATCTAATTACTAAATATCTAATACTAAATTATCCTTGGTGCATGACCTTAGTTCTGAAAATGTGAGGCAAATACCCTGAGGTTATTGTTCTGGTGGCCCTTACCAAGTTTTCTATATAGAGATGCTTCTCAACTTAGGATGGGATTATAGCTGGATAAACTCATTGTAAGTTGGAAATGTACTGAATACGTGTAACCTACTAAACAGTATAGTTTAGCTTACCTTAACCGTACTCAGAACACTTACATTAGCCTACAGTTGGGCAACATAATCTAACACAAAGCTTATTTATAATAAATTGTTGACTAGCTCATGCAATTTATTGAAGACTGTACTGAAAATGAAAAACAGAATTGTTGTATGGATACTCCCAGTACGGGTTCTACTGGATGTGTATCATTTTGCAAAACTGTAATGTTGAAAAATCTGAAGTCAAACCATGGAAAGTCAAAGAATCTCCGTATTGGGGAAATTTTGAATTGGCCTAGGTCTTAGCATTTGTAGTTTGATATGTGCCCAGCTGAGGGATGAGCTGTGGCCTGCCATTAATATTTGATATATGGTGGTGTTCCATAAGTATTTAACAAATGAATGAGTGAACAAATAACATTAGTCTTAGAAGCAAAGTTTGGTAATCCAGTTGAGACATATTTCTGTCATCAAAAATATGTATTGAAGGCTGTGTTCAGTGGCTCATGCCTGTAATCCCAGCTGTCTGGGAGACCGAGGAAGGCGGATCACTTGAGCCCAGGAATTCGAGACCAGCCTGGCCAACACAGCAAAACCCTGTCTCTACTAAACACACAAAAATTAGCCGAGCGTGATGGCGCATGCCTGTAGTCCCAGCTACTCAGGAGGCTGAGGCATGAGAATCGCTTGAATCCGGGAGGCAGAGGTTGCAGTGAGCCAAGATTGCACCACTGCACTCCAGCCTAGGCTACAGACAGAGCGAGACTGTCTCCAAAAAAAAAAAGTATTGAACAACAGTTGAAAAGTTTAGACTGAGTTCTCTTTCTCTGTCTCTTTTAATGACACATACAATAAAGCTTCAAAATAAACCAAGAACAAGAACATCTGAAACAAAACCGACAACAACAATAAACAGCTCTTAATGCTGACAACAGCCCATGGACCACTCTCTCTCCTGCTCCCCGTGTCGGGGACGCTGCAGAACTCAGCAGAGGTCCTTGAGTCCTGAGATTTACCAGCAAGGTTCATCCTGATGATGCCACTATTTAAAATTACAGCCATCCCTCCTCGCTCCTGACAGTCTCAGTCTCCCAACTCCACAGCACCTGTCATCCTCTAAAACACAATATCATGACGCATTTTTATTTGAACGGATGCCCCTTGAGGACAGAATATTTGATGTCATTAGATCAATGCTCTATTCTCATTGCCTGGAATAGTGCCTGACACTGATTAAGCAGTCAAACAGATATTTGTATATTATATATAAATATTTACATATATTATATATAATATATGTAAATATTTATATATAATATATTAAATATATTATAATTATATAATATATTTTATATATTATACATAATATATTTTATATATTATACATAACATATTTTATATATTATATATAAATATTTACATATATTATATATAATATATTTTATAAATTATATAGAAATATTTACATATATTATATATAATGTATTTTATATATTATATAGAAATATTTACATATATTATATATAATATATTTTATAAATTATATAGAAATATTTACATATATTATATATAATATATTTTATATATTATATATAAATATTTACATATATTATGTATAATATATTTTATATATTATATATAAATATTTACATATATTATATATATTTTATATATTATATATAAATATTTACATATATTATGTATAATATATTTTATATATTATATATAATATTTACATATATTATATATTTTTATATATTATTTACATATATTATATATAATATATTTTGTATATTATATAAAAATATTTACATATATTATATATAATATTTACATATATTATATATAATATTTACATATATTATATAAAATATTTTGTATATTATATATAATATTTACATATATTATATAAAATATATTTTATATATTATATAATATTTACATATATTATATATAATATATTTTATATATTATATAATATTTACATATATTATACATAATATATTTCATATATTATATAATATTTACATATATTGTATATAATGTATTTTATATATTATATATAATTATGTACATATTTATATACAATATATTTTATATATGATATATAAATATGTACATATTTATATACAATTTATTTTTATATTATATATAAATATGTACATATTTATATACAATATATTTTATATAGTATATAAATATTTACATATATAATATATTTTATATATTACATATAAATATTTACATATATAATATATTTTATATATTACATATAAATATTAACATATATAATATATTTTATATATTACATATAAATATTTACATATATGTTTTATATATTATATATAAATATTTACATATATATGTTTTATATATTATATATAAATATTTACATATATATGTTTTATATATTATATATAAATATTTACATATATATGTTTTATATATTATATATAAATATTTCCATATATATGTTTTATATATTATATATAAACATTTACATATATATTTTATATATTATATATAAATATATATATTATATTTTATATATATACATTATACATTTTATATATATACATTATACATATAGTATATATGTATTACATATATAATATATAAATATATGTATATATAATATATATTATATATATAATATATAAATATGTATGTATATATAATATATAAATATATATGTATATATAATATATAAATATATATGTATATATAATATATAAATATATATGTATATATAATATATAAATATATATGTTTAAATATAATATATATATTATATATGTTTAAATATAATATATATATTATATATATTATATACAAATATTTTCATATATTATATATAATATATTTTTTTGAGACAGGGTCTGGCTCTGTTGCCCAGGCTGGAGTACAGTGGCACGATCAAGGCTCACTGCAACCCCCTCCTTCCAGGCTCAAGTGAGCCTCCCGCCTCAGCCTCCTGAGTAGCTGGGATTACAGGCATGCACCACTACACCCCTGCTAATTTTTGTATTTTTTGTAGAGACAGGGTCTCATTATGTTGCCTGGGTTGGTCTCGATCTCCTGAGCTCAAGCAATCCACCCGCCTCGGCCTCCCAAAGTGCTACAGGTGTGAGTCACCACATCCAGCCTCTCAAATATTTTTTGAATAAATAAGTGAAAATCAGTTTCTTGGGAACAAATGAACAAATTCATTTATGACACTGTGTAAATGTTGAGGTCAGTTAATTTTTTTCTTGAACTATGAGTAAGTGGAAAGGTAGAATGGACCTATCAACACTAATATCTGTGTGATACTGACATAGTGCCAGCCACTGGTAAATTACAGCACAAGTAAATTTGCCTTGGAAGAGTAAAAACAAAAAGTTCACATGACAGGACTATCGCAATGTGACTGAATCTTATATTTTGGACAAAAACTGCAACTTCATAATGTGATGTGAATGAATTTAGACCAGTAATGAAATACAAATTTTGGACCTTCGGAGACTTCAGAGCTGGACTTGGGATGTGCACAGCTTGTTTCAGAATGTTTCCTTGCCTCTTTTATTTTCTATCTTGAAATAATTTTGAAAATAATGCATGTTAGAAAACATGAGAACCTGTGTTTTGATTTTTAGTGTGTGGGAGAAATTATCAACCTTGAATAAATAGCTTTAAAATAGAATTGTATTTAAAGTAGGTAGAAAGTTTGAAAATATAAGTTGCCACCCTTGTATTAAAAAGAGGGAACTTTTCATATAGATTTGCCAAATATTAAACTAATTTAATATTAATATTTGATGTTAATATTTAATGCATACTAATCCAACTTAAAGGTTAATGTAATAGTTTTGTTTGGTATATTTATTAATTTGGTATATTTAGTATATTTATATTTATTACATATGTTTCTTTGTTTTGTGTATGTGTTTCATGTCTTGTTCTAAAAAGATTTTAGGTGTTGTGCCCCATTGAGTGTTTTGGTTTAGGGCACTTTGATAAATACTGTATTCAATGAATATGAGTAATGAGTTTTTATGGTAATTTTTATTGTGATTTAAAATATTAAGAGGCGCCTTTACTGTGGTTCTGCATTGTCACTTGTTTCTGGGATAGTAGGTAGAGATTTGGAAGCTTAAATGTCATTAATTTTGTCTGTCCATCAGGTAGAGTGCTTCCCTGTTGAATTGCACAAGGTGGTTTTATGCCAAAAACCATTGACTTCCTTATTTATTCTGCCATACCAATTGGCTTTCAAACCTGTGAAAATTTAATCAAATGTATTCTCCAGGTACCTACGAGTTTCTATTTACTGCTGAGTTTATGCAAAACAAACAAATATGTTTTTTGAATCTATTAAAATAACAAGAAAAAATGGTCATTATAGGTATTCATGTTTTTGCTGAGTTGCCTCCAAGAAAGAAAAATATTTATTCCTTTTAAATAGAGTTTCATGGCTGGGCATAGTGATTCATGCCTGTAATCCCAGCACTTTTGGGAGGCTGAGGCAGGCGGACTGCTTGAGCCCAGGAGTTTGAGACCAGCCTGAGCAACACGGGGAACCCTTGTCTCTACTAAAAAAGTCAAAAAACAAAAATTAGCCAGGCAAGGTGACGTGTGTCTGTAGTTCCAGCTATCAGGAGGCTGAGGTGGGAGGATCGCTTAAGCCCTGGAGTTTGAGGCTGCAGTGAGCTGTGGTTATACTACTACCCTTTAGCCTGGGTGACAGAGTGAGACCCTGTCACAAAAATAAGATAAAATAAAATAAAATAAAATAAATAGAGTTGCACTTTGAGAAAACAGTGATGCTTATGAAATGCTTTATGACATGACCCTCTTCAGGCAAAAGGGTTCAACAAATTGTGTTAATGTGGTTGGTCCTGGGTTACTCTCACCAGAGATTTGCTGCGTGAAAATCTGTTTTGGAAGTCTTGTTGATGTTATCCCCTGCTGTGAACCACTTACTACCGTCTCCATTTACTCTCTTCCCTGCGTGGAGCCTCCAAGGCCAGCAGGAACTGTAAAAGGAAAGTATTCTAAATCAAAACAAATAATTACCATCCTGATCCCTAGGGAAGAAAGCCAAAAAAGCATAGCAGCATTTTTTTTTTTTTTTTTTTTTTTGAGGCAGAGTCTCACTCTGTCACCCAGGCTGGAGTGCAGTGCAATCTTAGCTCACTGTAACCTCCGCCTCCTGGGTTCAAGTGATTCTCCTGCCTCAGCCTCCTGAAAAGCTGGGATTACAGGAATGTGCCACCACACTTGGCTAATTTTTTATATTTATAGAAGAGAGAGGGTTTCACCATGTTGGCTAGGCCGGTCTTGAACTCCTAACCTCAAGTGATCTGCTCACCTCAGCTTTCCAAAGTGCTGGGATTACAGGCGTGAGCCACCGCGCCTGGCCTAAAATTTTTGTATTAGAGTTAAAAAAAAAAAAAAAAAAAAAAAAACCACCCAAAAACAAAAGACTGAACCTCATGGCACCATGGAAACCCCCTGGGTTTGGAATCAGGTACCCCTTCTTCCAAACAGCCAGGAGACATTGGGCAAGGTGCCTTCCTTCCCTGGGTCTCATTTGCATAATCTCAGGACTAGACCAGATGGGTTCTTGATGTTTTTACATCTGCAGGATTTTGTTTTGTTTTGTTTTGTTTTTTTCAGGTGTCCACTTTTTTCTTTTGCAAAACGTTGCTTCTCAGTCCCTCCGCCTGGCTCAGTTTTGGAGTGTGGGCCTCTAATGATCTCATCATGTGTTTTCTTCATTATGCCTCACCTCCTGTTCTTCTGTTCCTCTTCCTGGAAGGACAGGGAATTTGACGTTTGTTTTGGGCTATTTCCCAGCTTCCTTAAGCTATTCCCTTCCTTATTCAGCGATAAAGTAGAGCTGACTCCGTGTGAATAAATTCTGTCACTGACAATTGTTTTCTTAATCAATTTCAGGAGTTACCGAATCAGAATTGGATGGTAAGTGTCTGCGAGTCCAACCACTCATCTGCTATCTGAATCACCTCTGTACTATCTCTATCTCTGAGAGTTTGATCATCCTGTCACGGATACCTGGAACGCCCTTCCCACTTTCCTCATCTGCCTAATCCCTCCTCCCTCTCTGAGACTCCATTCAGGTGAGCTGTCTACCGGAAGCCTCACTTTCCACCCCTACTCCCATCCTTCAAGCTGAGATGGCAGACCCTCTTTTGTGTTCCCCCAACACCTGTCTAGGTCCTTATTGTCTCAACTTACCACACTGCATTTTTATTGTATGCGGACATTTATCTAGGTCCTCTTATTACCAGTGCTTGGTAAAGTACTTAGCACTTAATTTATCTTGTTGGGTAAGTATTATTTCATACAATTCAGTTCCTTTGGTGACATGAGCTCTCTTCTCAAGGAAGTTCATTCCCCTCACAGCTACAAAATTTTATGCTGGTCTGAAATCTCCCCATCTCCTTTGGCCATACAAAACAAACATGATCCCTTCTCTGCATGACAGTTGGAAAGACATTTTAAAGCACCGTCCGACTTCCCTGGAGTCAGGCCAGATGTCCTCATTTCCTTTTAACTATACTTTGTTAGAGTTTAAAGTCTTTTTACCTCGTAATAACTCCAAGCAAATTAATGTGTGGTCCCAGAGCAACTTAGGATAGGGATGGATGGACATTTGATGTTTTGATGGATGTGAATGAATTACTCTGGTTCTATTAACTTATCAACATTCTATAGAAGACTAGTTTTATTGTGAGGGTTAAATGATGTAATACATGTGCCTAGCATAAAGGGGGTGGTCCCTAAATATTATCAGGGTTATATCATATTTTCTCTTCTTCTTGGTCTGTATTTCGTCATGAGAGCTGAGAGCAGGCACTGACTTGCAAGTCAGTGAGTAATTGTAAAGTCCTCTCAGTTGCTATCTTTCCAGTTTTTGAATCTGTGGAGCTTTAGATAACTCATTGTAATTAGAGATACCATGCTGTAAAGTAATTTGTTGTCTGAAATAAGTTTCATGGGTTAACTTTCACTTAGGAAAGATACAGCATACGGAAGGATATGTGTCCTCAAGTGGCTCATTTCTCTTAATGATTGCAAGACCTCTGATGGTCTTTTGATTCCTTCTCTACTTGTAACTAAAGGACCCACAGTTGTATACTGCTTTCTGGAATTACTGGTTCAGTTTGTGAATGGGAAACAAAAACATTTCTCTATAAAAAGGTAACTACTTTCTGATTGCAGCCTCATTGGCTCCTGCTATTAGTGGAGTCAACTGGCTTAGTCAGACATTCTTTTGAATATAGATTAACTTTTGACCTATGGAAACTTAATTCTGCATTCAATTTAAAAATATTATACACTGTTCTTATCTAACAATTGCTATAAGAAAACCTGAGAAGATAAACAAGTTTAAAAGCAACACTTGAAGAAAAAGTTGAGGCACTGGAGACCATGCATTGGAGTTAAAGCATTTGAGTCGATGCATTGGAGATGACACATTGAAGTTGATTCACTGGAGTTGATGCATTAGAGTTGCATTGGAGTTAATGCTTGGAGATGGCGAACTGGAGTTGATGGATTGGAGTTGATGCATTGGATTTGATGCATTGGAGATAATAAATTGGAGTTGATACTTTGGAGATGATGAATTGGAATTGATACACTGGATATGATGCATTGGAGATGATGCATTGGAGTTGATGCATTGGAGATGATGCATTGGAGTTGATGCATTGGAGATGATGCATTGGAGTTGATCCTTTAGAGGGTGAGCTTATTAGCAATGAAATAAAAGGGAGCAATTAAGAGGGTCAAAGCCAAAAGAAGCCATGATAAAAAGACAACTATATCTCTTAAAAGAGAAACAGTGAAGGCCTGGACTGAAATTTGAGCACGGGCCAAGGCTTTATGATGAAGAGAAGACACACATGAACAACTTATTGGGAACAAGAGAGGAAGAAATGGGCAACTGGTTGATGTCTTTGATAGCAGGAGGGAAGTAGACAGGATTAACTTTGCCGCTTGTTCTTCTAAAGGAGGGGACCCCATAGCAAGGTTCCAGTAGTAGAGCTTGCTCCTGGACTTGTGTGTGAGCAGGACACACCCAGGAAAAGACAAAGGGACAAAATATGGTTCAGGAAATTGAAATGGAAAAGCAAAAATAAGAGTTGTACTGAGCTTCAGCTGAGTAGATTTTAGTAAAAATTCATTTATATGTTTTAAAAAATTCTACTTACTGAGAAGCTGTCAGAATTGCCCTCAATTATCTGCAAGGAATTGTGGCATGGCTGTAGGTAAGTGTGTGGAAATGTTTACTGAAATGTTCAAAGCAGGGAAAGTTTGAATCTTGCATAATTTAATTAAAATGTGTAATTTGGTGATAACTGAATCAGAAACAAATACAAAGAGAACAGGAGAAGGAATGTGGGAGAATGAAACAAAGTAGCTGTATCAACACCCTATGTATCACCCAACAAATTCATTCACAGCTGCACACAGTACAGATCCTTTGTTTCTGGTGGATCTCTTTTGAGTGGCCATCTGTCATTAACCTGGTATGGGTGTGAAGTGTCAATGATCTGTGGAAGGACAGCCGTGGTGTTACTGAAGCAGCATCGTTGTCTGGGGTAAATACCCGGGGTTTGCCGTCACGTGCCAAGAAGATTAAAGACATGGACACACACCAGGAGTGAGTTTAGGAGCAGAGGTTTAATAGGCAAAAGAAAGAGGAAGGAGAACAGCTCTCTCCCTTGCAAAAGAGAGGGGCTTCAGAAGGGGAAATCTGACCTGTGGTGGAGAGCACCAGGTTTTATAGGCAGGCTTGAGGAGGTGGTGTCTGATTTACGTAGGGCCCACAGATTGGTTGGACCAGGTGTGACGTTTATATAGCACAGGGAAGGCTGGCCACCCCACCCTTATCTTATTATGCAAATAGGCTTTCCACTTGGCCAGCGCCGTCTTGTCTGCTCCTTACTGCACAAAGCTGTAAGAGAAGGGAAGCTGGCAAAGAGAAGGGAAGGTGGAGCCGCCATTTTGAATATGCCTAGTCCCAGGTAGCCTTTTCCTGTTGGCACAACCTCCGGCATTCACTTGTGCAAACTTCCAGCTTGCTTGTCTATGTCTGCAGCTCGATTTTACAGGCTGCTCTTTGTTAGAAAAGAAAATAATTTGGGGGCTGCTTTTCATTAAAAGCAAAACCTTAATGAGGACTCCCGTACCCTCACTATCTGCCTAAATGATTTCTTCTTAACTCCGATATCATTATCTCCTCACTTGTCCCAGAGGAAACATTTCATGTTGGGGGTGCTTTTGTTCTGATAATGACTGGTGCAGATGAGGTGTGGATGGCTTCGGGCAGCCCCTGTATCATGTTTTCTGGAGATTAGCTATTTCTCTCTCTAGTTAGTAGCTTTCTTGATCTTTCCTGATTTCCTAGTTTGGGTTTCCTTCACAACAGCTTTAACTTAAAATTTGTTTTCTTGTTTCTAGCAGCAAAACTGTCATTCTGCTGGGAAACAGTGAGAGCCTGGCATCTGATGAATCCTATTTGAAGATCAGGGTCTCCTGCCATTTAGACTGTTTCTCCCAGAAAGTAATCAATGACATGAGAAAGCCATCTGAAAAGAGCTCTTGGGTTTTATTTAGCAACTAAAATCTCAGGGGAATGTGAAAAAATGTGAGCTCCGGAGGCTCCCTATGATGGGCAACTTTTATGGTTAAATTCAATCAAATTTGATCTCCTAGCCTCTTCTTATCCATCTTTAGATAAAAGTTATAATAGTATGGGACTTAGGAAGTGCTGTGAGTGTTTGAAAAGCTCTTTGAAGATAAGCGAATTTTTTAAATTAAAATGAAGATACTATCATCTTCAATTATGTTTCTTTGATCTCTGTGGACCATTGCATGCCGGAACTTGTAGTTTTGGGCAGTTGCTTTGCTCTCTCATAAGCCAAGAGGGGCTCCCTAGCTTCTGGCAAATACAGAGGCAAATGACAATCTGCTTCAGTATGGACTGGTCAACCTGGGACCATTTCACTTGTTTTTAAAAAGTTTCTTTTATTAATTGCTTATCTTGTTTTTATACTATCTTGAGTGGGTGGATGGTGGAGGAACCTGAAAATTAAGACTGTGATCAAAGGAATTACTTACACTGGCATAGGTGACAATTAGTTCATGAACCTGGCCTTCCATTGCTCTGCCAAAATGCGGCCTCTCCAAAGCAATCATATTTTGCTTGAGATCCTGCATTCGTTAATGTGCAAAGAAGCTGCCTCTTAAAGTGTAGGACAATGAGAAGAATTATATTTTATGAAAAAAGCACTGAAATTAAAAAAGCCAATGATTTCTTTGGTTTATGATTTACCTGTGAAGATAAAGTGAAGGAAAACCATATTGGATAGAGTAGAATATCTACTGAGTAGATAAAATGTTTGGGGAAAGGCACTCAGCTCCCAGAACTCACCTTTCTAATTATTTAGGATGATATTTATAGTTTCTTCAGCTTAAGAATTTGGTTTGGCTCCTATTGAAATGCAGAAAGAAATCCAAGCAAAAATGAAAACAAATCCTTTACTTCTTGATACATAATAAGGGATCCAGTTGGAAATTCTACAGTGTGCACATGGGAGTCACTGGCCCCACCAAGAGAAGAGAAGGTTCCTACCGGTGAGGAAGCCATGGGAAGGCACAGAACCAAACAGAAGAGAACTGGAACTTTGTTCCTATTTTTTTTTTAAAATGCCATTCGGTGTTTGGATGCTCTGCTTTATTTTATCTGTCTCTGTTCACCAAAAATTCTCCACCAGAAAAAAAAAGCACCTGTTTGAAATTCTGTTTGTACTAAATCTCGCCATGAAAATGATGGATTCTTGAAGGGACCTGAGAGATCATCTAGCTTTAACTCCTTCACTTTATAAAGAAGAAAACGATGTGCTCAACATAAACATGCTTGTGGCTGAGCTCAAATGAAAAATGCAGTTCTTCTGCTTCCCAGGCCCGTCTTCTGTCTGCAGAAGTGCCTCACTGGTGTAGCTGTGGGCTCCCCTGACATCGCTGTGAGTGAAGGCAGCGTGGTTATGCCCAATGCTTGGAGATGACAGGTGAGGTACAAGATCTTCCAGAAAACACAGGAAGAGAGAAGAGCTGCTGGTTGTCCAGTCATCTCCCTGGTTTCTCTTCTCTGAGAGGCTATGAGGTTGATGCAAATGTAGTTGCAGTTTTTGCCTTTACTTTCAATGGTAAAACTGCAGTTACTGTTGCAGCAACCTAACAGATCTATTGGTTGGTAGTCAGAGAATGTGGTTGAAAAGTCAGTGGACCTTCAGACAAGATACGATTTATTTATTTAGAGATGGAGTTTCACTCTTGTCACCCAGGCTGGAGGGCAATGGCACGATCTCGGCTCACTGCAACCTCCACCTCCTGGGTTCAAGAGATTCTCCTGCCTCAATCTCCCAAGTAGCTGGGATTACAGGCGCCTGCTACCACACCCAGCTAATTCTTGTATTTTTAGTAGAGATGGGGTTTCACCACATTGGCCAGGCTGGTCTCAAACTCCTGACCTCAGGTGATCCCCCTGCCTCCGCCTCCTAACGTGCTGGGATTACAGGTGTGAGCCACCGCACCCACCCCAATATACTATTTAATTTCACAGTTTCAGCGTGGAAGGAGAAGCAGAGGAGTTTGTATCCCTCTGCAGCAAGAAGGTGCATACCTCAAAACTGTCTGGAAGCATTAGCTATCACCTTGAATTTATTCCCGTGGAATGGGTATTTTTGAAAAAAGCATTTTAAAAATGGATTTTCCTTTAATTCTTATGTTTATTTCTGTAATGTATCACATATGCTTTTGAAGCTAATTCTCTATTTGAATTTGACCGAGTGAAAAGCTAGCCATAGGTTTTTAGTACACACATAGATCATTACCATATGATTCTGTATTGATTATCTGCCCTCAGTCCTGTTTCTTTAAATTAAATACTATTATGAGAAGAGTATCAGGAATTTTAAGATTCTGCATAAGGAGTTGAACTGAAAGTAGGAGGGTTTGGTGGGGGATAAATAATAAGGGAGACTTTTCTCTATGGAGAAAATACTCCTAGGCATCAAAACAGAGCAGCATTTGACAGATAATAGACCTCTACATCAGCCTCGAGAGCAGGTAGGGCCACTTTTTTTTCTTACTCTCACTTTTCCATCTTAAGGATTAATATTAAAAACAATAGTCAATCCACATTGAGCACTCACTAGGGCCTAGGCACCGAGCCTTACGTGTGATAGTCTAACACTTAATCCCCACATCAACAGTGTGAGCCATTCATAATTGTTATTTCTATATTTACCCAAAAGGAAACAGGCTTACAACACTAAAATGACTAGTTCAAGGGCACTATAGCTAGCGGGTGGTAGTGGTGGGGTTTGAAGTCAGACAGGCTGACTTCAGGCTCAGAGAAAAGCTTTTTCTGAAACAAGTCTCAAACCTTGTAACTAGCAGCCATCTAGCACTGTCCAGTGGAACTCTGTGCAGGAATGCATGTGCCCTATGTCTGCATTCTCCAATATATGAGTCAGTAGCCACTGGTGGCTGTTGAACACAAGCACTCCAAATGTAGCTCATGCAATGGAAAAACCAGACTTTTAATTTTACTTAATTTTAATTAATTTAAATTGAAATGTAAAGCCCACATGTGGCTAGTGGCTACCATATGTGGATAGTGCTGGAGGCAGTGAAATCTCACGTTAATTCCAGATGGTTTTTATCTCTGATTATTTGCCTACATGAGCTTGTGACCTGAAAAACACTAACGTTAAAGCAAAAAGAAAAAAGCAAAAAGAGAGGAGAAAAGTAAGAAGCAGAGAGAAAGGGAGAGAAGGAAGGAAGAAAGGATAGAAGGAAGGAGAAGGAAGGGAGGAAGGAAGGAAGAAGAGAGGGTGGAAGGAAGGGAAGAGGAGAGGGAGAGAAGAAGAGGATCTTTGTTCTCATAGAACATAGAACTTGAGAACGCTGACCTATCAAGGCTACTGGCCTGAAGGCCTGGTTATGTTCTTTTGGGGGTTTTTCAAATTTTTACTCCAATGTTGTATTTATTGGCATTATACTATAAATATTCTGGTCCACAGAAAACTCATCAAACACAATTCCTCAGCCTAGTTTGGATTTCATCAAAAAGAACATCATCCCTGGCTGAGCACGGTGGCTCACGCTTGTAATCCCAGCACTTTGGGAGGCCGAGGCGGGTGGATCCCTTGGGGTCAGGAGTTCGAGACCAGCCTGGCCAACGTGGTGAAACCCCGTTTCTACTAAAACTACAAAAATTAGCTGGGCATGGTGGTGCGCACCTGTAATCCCAGCTACTCCAGAGGCTGAGGCAGGAGAATTGCTTGAATCTGGGAGGTGGAGGTTGCAGTGAGCCAAGATCACACCCCTGCACTCCAGCCTGGGCAACAGTGAGACTCTGTCTCAACAAAAATAAATAAATAAATAAAATGAAATGAAAAGAACATTGTCCCAGTTTATGATCTGATGACTCTGACTTAAAAAAATCATTTAAAAATTATATGATATTGTTGCTCAATCATTTTTTAAATTGCCTGGAGAGAATGAAAAGCCCTCTGACATGGATTATCTAGGTTCCACTTATGAATCTCTTGTTCTATATAAATCTTATTAATAACTTAGACTATTTTTGAGCTGGAGAAGATCTCGCTGCTCATCTGCTTCAATATTTTTATAGGAAGGAAGGTAGAGGTCAGGGAGATCAAATGACTTGCTGGAGGTTGTTTCACCCTGAGATGGTGGAGGCAGGCGCTGTCTCCTGGTGCCCTGGGCCAGCATTTGCTGGGCTTCTGGAAACAACTGTTGATAATAATTACCTGGTGATCCCCAGGTGAAGCATACCTGGAAGTCTTTCCATCGGTAATCTTCCCAAATAGCTGAAGTTCTTTTCGCTGCGTCTCTGTACTCCATTACTCAACTGAGCTCTGATAAGCAAAGACCAAAAAGGAAAGTTGAGATTTCCCGATACAATCTCTAGGATGAAATAATGGTTTCTAAAATCTGCACGCAGAGATGTGGCAACAGCTCTTTGTAGTCTTCCGTACAGCATGGAAAAATAACAACAATTTTTTTGGAAACCTGATGTGGCAGTGTGTCACCAATGCTGGTTGTTACTGAGGATCCATGGAGACAGGAAAGGACATTCTCTGAGAACTTGTTTATAGGGAGGTAAAATGTCCTTCAATAATCACGTAAGTGGAAGCCAATGGTGAGTTTTAAATAGACCAGACCATTGCTGTGTAGACAGTTTGGGAGACTTACCATTACAAATTCTGGGTGATACAATGCACCAAGGAGAAACATAAAATTAGAGTAATTTAGGGAGATTAAGAAAAACCCAGGGATTGTATAATTTAAGGATTTAAAACTGCTTTAACAACATTACCTAATTAGTCTGTGAGTTTCTCTGTGAGAAAGAAGATTTGTAAGCTGCATGTGCCCTGAAATGAGGGTTACTTTAGAGTTCAGATACGTTAGTGCAGGAAGAAGGGGAGAATCAGAGAGAATCAGGCAGAATCTTTTATGATTTTTGTGGGGAGAGGTGGGTAGGAGTTGGGGGCTAAAGTTAGGGCAACTGGAGGATGTCAGATTATGGAGTATTTCTTGTGTTTAATGCTGTGCTTAGAAGGGCTGTATTGGAAGGAGTAGGTAGGGGCAGCTGGAATGTGAATTGTGGCCATCAAGGGGCCAGAGAGCTCAGATGTGCTATTCTCCTAAAATCCATAGTTACTTTTTGTGTTTTATCCCCCAACTAAATTCCCCAAGGACACTTGCCTTGACTATACCCCTCTTGTATTGCCTTCAGCACTACACTTGGGACGACACAATAAACATTTGCTGGCTGACTGATCTGTTTAGGGACTGCAATTACAAGACTATTTTAGGTTATAACTTACCAAGGAAATAGGAATTTTGAGATAAAAAGTTTCAAATAAAAAAAGAGAAAAGAAAGGAAGAAAGAGACAGGGAGGGTAGAGGGTGGGAATGATCGTCTGAAGAATGCAGGGATTATGATCAGGAGACGAGGACGTTCAAAATTCAAAATGAAGGATGTCTAGGTGCTTTACACGAATTAAAAGTCAACTTTTAATTCAGAGACAAGGTCTGAAATTGGGGCATGTGAGATTTGGGTAGACGCAGTAGCATTTGACCTGGGGATGATTCACAGATGGTCTGTTGGTCTAGATGAGAATCCAGTTGGTGGAAGCATTAAGAAGATCAGAGCAAGTGAACTTGGAGGAAGCCCCCAGGAAGCATGCAGTTGCCTTCCTGGCCCCGTGTGGATATCAGCTGTCCCCAGTCTGACCCCCAACCCCTCCCAGTTCCTGTCCCCATCTCTGCTTGGCAGCTGAGGTTGGCGCCTACCCTCACCTACTTTCTCTTTAGTTCACATTGTTTTCTTCTGCCCCTGGATGAAAATCAAGCTCAGTCTTCCTCTTCTCTACTGTAGCTTTCCTGCTTATTTCTCTTCTGTAAGTTGCCGTGTTTCTTGGGGTCATTTTTTTCCAGAGAAGGAGAATATGGGGGAACAGTGTTGTTTTTTGTTGTAACCCCATCACTCAAACTAAAGTGTGTCAGTGCATTACAGTTTTAAATAAAGGTTTGTCTAACACAGAAGTGAGGAGATCGAATGCTGAAGGAAGACCTGGGTATGAATGCCAACTCTCCCAATTTCTGACCCCAGCCTCTTTGGCTTTAGCCAACGTTAATAATAGTGTCTCCTTCCTGCGGTAGCTGTGATGATTAGGTGAGATACCCGATACTAAGCGCTGAGCACAATGCTTGCTGCTTTATTGTTACTTTGCATTACATAAACCATGGGCTCCAAGTATGACAAGGGTATTCCAGTCCCAGAACTACCTATGGCTAAACATCTGAAATTTTTAATCTAATTGTTCTATCCTAAAAATAAAAAAAGCCTAACAATTTCTTCTCTGCTTTGCAAGAATATTGTGAGAATCCCTGCTATCATATGTATTAGGATTCTGAACCTTTGGAAGGATGATGTAATTGATTTTGGAATCTATTGTTCTTAATACATTAGGGTTTGAACTACTTTTACGTGAAGAAGAATGTTCCTTCCACCAGCATCAGAAAAAAGGTAAAAATGTAACCCTTAAATCATTTGATCAAAGGTAGCATCCAGAGAGGAGCTGAGCCTCAGGCCAAGCTTCCCTTATGTGGCATTCCATGCCTGGCTGTGTCTGCAGGTCCAGGTACTTTAGGAGATAAATAAGGAATTTAGGGATGCAATTAGTGAAAGTAGGTACAAAAGTGTTCAGCTTATAAAAGTAACCATTGCTAAAAGTTTATGTTAATAGACAGTACGGAAAATAAAAAGATTTTTAGAAAAGAGCAGTGCTATCATTAATTGGAATAATTCAGTTATCATCAAATAGGAAAGAGTAGATAGAGTTTCTGTCCTTGAGATGCCTGCTGCAATCTAGCAGTGAGCATGGGTAGTACTTGCCGCAACCTGATGTCAAGGTAGCCACCACCACGATTGCAGAACGAGTTGTTGTGAATGATGGCGTGTGCTATGATACAGATGGAGAAACATACTGTGGGGCTTCATGGGGTGTTGATGGGTTTCTGCCTTGAATTCCTTTCCCTTTCCATGCCACAGTTTCTCTTATCTGCTGCACAGATGGAATGAACTCATTCCTTTCACCCCACGTACAACCATTGGATGCATTTGGGAGGGAACATAATTTTCTTCCTTCCTCTTTCTAAAAACCCAGGATTTAAAAAAATGGTCCTTTCTTGAAAATCACCCTCTTACTTCACTGTGGTGTCTCTTCCCCACAACAGCTGAGACTTAGGCTGTTATTTAAGGTACTCGAATTTACTGACAGAAATGCACGTGTATCAACCCTAATCGCAGTTTCATGATGATTCAGACATGCAGCAAGCAAAGACGCCGTGCCTCATCCCTCGGTTGGAAAGCCGGCTCCCTTTGGCCTGGTCCGGGATTCCAAGTCATTCCTCTCTTATCGACCTCGACCCTGCCCTCTTAGTCAGGCCCCAGATGGAAGCAGCCATTGGAGCCAGGAATTTGTGGTTGCGTCTTCCCCAGGGTTCTTGCCCAACATCTTGTATCAAATCTTTCCTATGCAGAATGCTTTTTTTTTCTTTTTTCTTTTTTTCTTTTTTTTGGTTGTTTGGAAAAAAAATCCCCTTCACGTACTGCTTGTTCTTTTCGAATTGTCTTGCTTTCGGTCAGTTTTGCATTCCTTTTTTCATCCCTGTAATCAGTCTGTCTATCTCCATGGAGTCGTCGGCTGTCCCCTCTTGCTTTTTCAGGATCTCCTCATAGCCGGTCCTTTTCCTTCATTGCTTTTAGTCAGACTGAATGAAGCATGAGCTTAGGAGTATCTGTGATCACCTTGCACTCCAGGCCTCCATAAAGGAAGGGGCCAATTCTCCTCGGGGTCTCTGCACTTTCTCCATTCTGTCATAGGTCCTGCCCAGATGAGGACTTGATTTATAGTTTCTGAGTGGAAGAACACATATTTGATTCCATCCTTCCTTGGCTTAATCTTCCTTTTTACATCTGAGAGCAAGGACTTTTGCTTGCCTTGTTTCCTCCTCTATTCTCAGGGCCTGAATCAGCACCTGTTAATAGTAGGCACTTGATAAGTGTTTACTGAATGAACGAATACATGAATAACTTGTCTCAGGTCCTCAGACCTCAGGGACTGGCCCCTGAAGGTCATTCACAAGTCTTGTGTGTCTCTGTCCTCTTACTAGAAACCTTAGCATCTGTAAGACCTACCTTTACATTTCAGGTTTTTGATCTACTGGAAGACAGGGCATGATGGGCAGGTTGGGAGTAATTTGTTCCCCATATTCCCAGCTCCACTGCCCCAGCACAAACATGCCCTTAGATCTGTTGAGGGCATGCTCACGATTACCCCTTCCTTGTGCACATGGTTTGTATCTCAGGTAATGCTGCAGCCAGTGGCTGAGCATCTCTGAATGAGGATGGAACGAATATCCCGTGATGATGGATGGCCCTTCCGAGGCTGGCTGATGCTGATTTGCTGTGATGAATTTGTTTTAGTTGTTGGGAAGCGAGTAATCACAGACTTGCCATGGTATTGTGGGCTCACCCTTCTCTGTCCCTGAAAAGGGGGTTCATTGTTCACATGTAAGTCCTTTATGCAGCTTGCTGTACCTCTCTCCTGATGAGTAGCCGCTCCCGGGGGTGGTGGTGGGCTGGGGGACCATCTTCCAAGAATCCTCAGACCAATTGCCTTCCATTCGATCCCTTGCCTTCACCGTTCCCATTGTACAAGAGGCTTTAAAAATGGTTTACAAATGCTATGGAGTTAGTCAATCATTCTTCACCTCCAACAGGATGCCAGAGTGCTGGAGTGACAAGATTCTGACCTATAATTAGTAATGGAGCATATGAAATTTATAATAGCACCTTGGTATTCATCAGGATGAAAGGTGCTTCATAAATGTAAGCGTGATTATTTCTCGACAGCTAAATACAAAATTTCCACTAAATACTACTTAACATTGTTGCTTTAAAGATATTAATTGGGCCTTTCAACTATACAATGCAATTATCAGTCTAATTGAAAATAATTGGTCAGCACGGAGGAGGAAAAATACCTGAAATCGTCAGCAGGAAAAACATTTAGAAAGTTAAGACTCCACAAATAGGAACACTTTTACACTGTTGGTGGGACTGTAAACTAGTTCAACCATTGTGGAAGTCAGTGTGGCAATTCCTCAGGGATCTAGAACTAGAAATACCATTTGACCCAGCCATCCCATTACTGGGTATATACCCAAAGGATTATAACTCATGCTACTATAAAGACACATGCACATGTACGTTTATTGTGGCACTATTCACAATAGCAAAGACTTGGAACCAACCCAAATGTCCAACAATGATAGACTGGATTAAGAAAATGTGGCACATATACACTGTGGAATACTATGCAGCCATAAAAAATGATGAGTTCATGTCCTTTGTAGGGACATGAATGAAGCTGGAAACCATCATTCTCAGCAAACTATCGCAAGGACAAAAAACCAAACACCGCATGTTCTCACTCATAGGTGGGAAGTGAACAATGAGAACACATGGACACAGGAAGGGGAACATCACACACCGGGGCCTGTTGTGGGGTGGGGGGAGGGGGAGGGATAGCATTAGGAGAGATACCTAATGTAAATGATGAGTTAATGGGTGCAGCACACCAACATGGCACATGTATACATATGTAACAAACCTGCGGGTTGTGCACATGTACCCTAAAACTTAAAGTATAATATAAAAAAAAGAGAAAGGAAGTTAAGACTACACTAAATTGATAGTTTACGTTGGTTGAAAAAAGCCAATCAGCCCACTTTGTCTTGGTAAACATGCCGGTGAAGTCTGAGGTTCAAGCCAACCTATAATTAATCCTCAATACAAAGGTTGATAAGGCCCAGAAACTTTGTGAGTTCACTTACACATCCCTGCCAGAACTTTCCGTCAAACATCTTTTCTCCGGCGTTGCAAATGCTATTTTTTGACATTATTTCCACAGAAGAAATCAAATAAGTCAACCACCTGGCCCCCTTCTTGTGGGGGCAAAAGAGATTGCAGTTTTAGAAAACACTTTTATTGTTGTTTTTGTTGTGATTGTTGTGATTGTTGGCTTTCAGAGTAAAGAAGCTCAGTGAATTTTTTTTTTTTTTCAAGAAAGACAAAAATGGGGAAAAGCATGAAGCACAGATTGTGGCGAGCTTCACACATTGGCATAGCCTTATCGACAGCATTTCATGGTTTTCTGGAATCCTTTCAAAAGAGACTTTCCTTTGTAAGGGACTGTTTAAGCTTTCCATTATTCAAAGCTATATTTGAGAGTTTATGAAAATTGCTTTTGAGTTTCTCAGACTCTTAAACCATCGATACTGATGTTTACTTCCTGCGAATTCATCTCCTTGCTGATGCGACGTGCTGTGGGTTTTAGCTTCACATTTTACATTCCTCCATCACTGCTTTCCTTCTTTCTGTTCCTGCTGCATTCGAGGATGGTTGGCTGCATCGTTCGGGGCTCTACCAACCTTCCCTCTCTACTTAAGAAGGAACTGGGCTGGGCGCAGTGGCTCACACCTGTAATCCCAGCACTTTGGGAGGCTGAGGCGGGGGGAATCACCTGAGGTCATCGGGAGTTCGAAACCAGCCTGGCCAACACGGTGAAACCCCGTCTCTACTAAAAAATATAAAAATTAGCCAGGCCTGGTGGCACGCACCTGTAACCCCAGCTACTCAGGAGGCTGAGGCAGGAGAATAGCTTGAATCCCAGAGGCAGAGGTTGCAGTGAGCCGAGATTGCACCACTGCACTCCAGCCTGGGCAACAGAGCGAGACTCCATCTCAAAAAAAAAAAAAAAAAAAAAAAAAAGAAGGAACTGAACGCCAGCCCTGATTCTGTTCCGTGAGGTGGCTGTTAGTTTCACCTACCAGAGACAAGGGATTCTATATTCTTTTGAATTTCTGGATGCTATGCAAAGCCTTCAACACTTATTTTTCCTGGATGCTCTTTGAGGACAAGGACCATGTCTCTCATGTTTATTTTCAGCCCTGGACACACTGGGACAGGTGCTATGATGTTAATACCCACGCGACCAATCCTGTGAGAGAATATAAATAAAATAAACAATCTTTCTAATCGAAAAGAACAAAACAAAATATCAGATGCCCTAGCCAATGACTCATTTATTAAAAAGATATTTGGCGATGCAGAATTCTGTGACCAAGGAATTTAGCAACCTTTGGAGTTCTTAGTGTAGGGTTTTACCTGCAGAGTCATGGATTATATACTCTTGTCCCTAAGGATAGGAAGTTAGCAAGAATGCTACATTTTAAAACATTTGTTTGCTTTTAAGGTTTACTGTGGTGCTGAATGGGTTCTAAGTGTGTAGATGAGAGTTGTCTTTTACTGAAGTCTTTAAAAGAACAGGGTGTATAGTAGAAAAACGAGCAATTTTAGGATTAAAGGATTGTGGTAAGCGCTCTGCCTTGAATAAGCTGGGAGACCTTGCGTAAGTGAGGTAATCTGGGTAAAATTTAATTTGCCCTAATCTATAAAATATCACCCCAATGAGCTAATAAATATATCTGTTGTACTAGTTATTGTTCTAGTCCCCAAAACAATCTACTTAAAATTTATCAAGGTGACATAATTTAGGTACAAGTGCAATAACGCTGCAGATACAAAGGAATGAATGAAAGGGGAACCGTTTTAGGATGCACTGAAATGTAGTGGCTCAAAGAGAGATTGGAAGATTGAGCTAAGAACCCAAAGGGAGGAAAGTCTTCCATAAATTGCAACAATACCATTCTTGATAGGAGACAGTCTGTTGTATTGGAAGTGATACTTTTTAAAAAATGAAAGTATTTGCTAAATATGGCATTAGGATGGATGTGTGTGCCAATGAGCAAACTTTTTTTAATTATAAGAGAAATTAGTTACTGTTTTAATTACTTAGAAAGTGATTATATTGAAGCGTTGCCCGATGGCCCCCCTTCCCCGTTTGGGTTGCTTGAGCAATTTACTGTGATCAAGAACACATTCAGAGAATAGTTTCTTTAAAAACAAAACTCAGCTTGAGGAAAGCGAAATTCCTGCTCTTCTCTTGCGTGACAAATACCCATTTCAGTCCACGAGAGGGTTGCCTGAACCTCATCTTAAACGTTGTGATGAAAAGGGAATTTCAATATTTGTGTAAAGCTCTGCAGAAGGCCAAGAAAATGATCGATAAGGACGATGATTTATTTCAGCTATGGTTTGAACTTCTAAAAGCAGGGACATTTGAGACATCTACTGACTTAATTGAAACCCAAGATGCTAGAAAAACTTGTCAGAGATCATGGAAACGCCGAATGTGTACTGTGAAGCTCTGTTCCTGTGACTTTCAAACAAGGACGGGAACATCAGCCCTTTAGTGATACGTGTCTCTACCATGTAGGCAAATTATTTTAAGCATGTGGTAGTGTACACTGCCTGAACTCCCATTGCTAGCAATCCTTGCTTATCTGTCTTGAGGCTTATCTACTTTTTCCTTCATCACAGCTTCCTCCCATAAACTGTCATACCCATGGCCTAAAATTGATCCTTAAAGTCAAGACCCACCCATTGCCCCAGAGTTGCCTGGGGTGTCTTTACCATAGGATGATGTGCTAATAAAATAGCAAAAGCAATTCCTTGAAAATTCCAATGGAGGCTCCTCATTCGGATGACATAGGAATGTAGGAACTGAGCATGTAAATCAGAGATCACCCAATGAGCTCGTTAAATATTTGGCAACTGAGTCTTGACCCCTGAAGAGGCACTGACGACAATGGAGGTATTTTGGCCATTTGATATTCATGAGACTGGGAAGGTTTAAGATGAGCAGCTAAGGACTAAATACAAGGGGTTTGGCTTTCTAATGTAAACACCATTATCATTTGGAAATCAATTAGCTCCTTGCACAGAGGGAATGAGAAGACCAGGGCCTTCTGAACTACTATTGTGAGCGGTAGCTATTTGCTTTAATTAAGAGGAGACAAGGTGGATTATTGTCTCAAACTAAGTAGTTGGGAAGAGTCAGAAAATTACACTTTACCCTGGTGAACAACAAAGCCCAAGCAAGAGACAGGCTCTGCATCAGGCTGGTCTAAAGCAAATTAGCTTTTAATCTGCAAACTCTCTGAATAAGGACGCCTGCACCATGCAATTAGAACAAATGCAAAGCAGTGGTTCTGCTAAAGCTTTAGGCTCTCCTCGAGAGTCTGCCCTGTCTCCATATCAGGAAGATTTGTGTGATAAGTGTCCTTTTGCCATGTACTTGTCAGAGATTTAGAACCTATGGGAAAAAATGATTTAAAATTAGATCTTCAATGCAAAACTATTAGTAGCATTAATGTGAATTCATTGCAGTAAAACTTGAATGAAAATGTAATACATTTCTTGATTGGTTAAAAAATGTTTTGTAAAATAGCAATCTACAAGGTCAACTGATTGGGTGTCCACAATTCTTTCTCTTGTTGGGGCCCTTTTATGTTAATCCAAGCCATCGAAAAGAGTTACAGTTACCTTTCTCATTTATCCATCCACCCATCCGTCCATCCATCCATCCATCCATCCGTCCATCCATCCATCCAATAAATAAACATTAAGGGCCAACTCTGTGTTATAGTCCTAGGTTCTTGGAGATCCCTGGGAATGAGATGTAGCATTTCCTTGGGGAGAGAGAGAAATAAACTCAAGCTACTCTGAGCACCGTGTTTTGGGGAGTCAGGGAAGGCTCTGGACCCTGAAGGAGAGAAAGAAATGGCTGGACCTGGGGTCTTCCCAGAAGAGGAAAGCAAAGACAAAGGCAAAAGTGAGAGAGGTTGGAGTCCTGGGAGCTGACAATGGAGAGGTGGAGGAAGAGAGAAGTAGGGGGCAGGAGAAGTGGGCAGGAGCCACATTGGGAGGGTTTAACCAGCAGGAGACCTCTTGCCGTCCTGAGGGAAAGGGGAACCATGGGAGCAAGTGAGGGCAGTGATTATGTATGTGTCCATGTTTTAGAAAGGTTATTCTGGTAGAAAATGGTTTGCAGAGGGCAAGATTGGAGGCATATTCCAGGCCTATTCTGATAATTTAGGACAGATGTTGGTGGCCTTGATTGGGCTATTGGATGATGAAAAAGATAGAGCTGGTATTAAGAAGGGGGAGTTGAGGTAACTTTGTTGTTAATTAGAAGGGGGGGCACTGGTGAAGAAGATGCAGGTGTTTCTGGCTGCATGGAGTGGATGGAGTTACCTACAATTTCCTGGGAAAGAACATTCCAGAAGAGAAGCAGATGTACTTGGCTGGGGTTAGATGCTCAATAGGGCATGTTTTTAGTCTACGGGAGGTAGCATGCATGTGTGTGTGTGTGGTTTAATTTTGCAGGTGGATAGAATGAGAGCAGCTTCAAGGTAATAGAAGAAACTGATTTATTATTCTAATGTCACTACAACCACAGACAGTCCTTTTTTTTTTTTTGACTGTTTGAGATTTTACATGTATGTATTACCATTTAGTATTAATTGAGAGACTAAGAGTAGCTCTGAAGGACTTCTTTAGTTTAGGGCATTATTAGGTAGAGCATATTTACTAAACATGAACAAAAAAATCCCCAAGTGGCTATTTGGTTTTTAAAAGAATTAAATAATTTTTCTTTAAGTTTTTTGCCCATATATTAACATATCAGATTTAATTAAAATTTTATACACATGTATTTAGCTATCATGTTTTGAGCACTGTTTCAGTGTTTTATATGTATTGATTTATTTAATCCTTCCAACAGCTACAGGAGATAGTACTGTTATTATACCCATTTTACAGATAAGGATATCGAGGCACTGAAAGTTTAAGAAACATGCCAAATATCATAAACCTGTTGATGAAGAAGCTAGGATTCAGGCTCAGGCAGTGTGGTTTCACAATCAATACTCTTACCCACCACACTATACTAGCTATCACACTATATCAGCATTAATGGAAACTTAAAAAGGAATCATTATGTACAATCCTGATACCCTGACATATTAAATTGCTCTACTCTTCCTTGTTTTCACATAGTCCCACTGTTTTTACCTTCAGCATTTATATACTTACTCTATTAGTTAGTAATTGTTCATTAGTCAGTTTAAAAAAAAAGGTTTTGTTTTTGTTTGTTTTTTAGCACTATCAATATTTCCTACACTCTGCTATGTGCTAATGTGTTCGGTTTACTATTTAATTATATCACTTCCCAGTTATGTTATAAATACCTCAAAAACTGGAATTGTGTTCCCTAATTTCTTAACAATTCCCCAAAGACTCCTACTCTCAGAGAATGTTGCAAAGTCCTGGTAGGGAAGAGTCAACTCTTGACTGATGAGAAGTGTACAGTCTAAGGTAGAGATTTGTAAATATTACAACAATTTAATGTTTATGGAGCACTTGTTCCAGTTCAGGCAATGTGGTATTTCATTTCACCCTCCTACCACACCTACAGTTGGGGTTATAGATAATATTATGAGCCCCACATTACAGATGAAAAACTGAGGCATAAAAAGTTAAAGAGTTTGTCCAAGGTCACCCCGCTAGTAAGTGGTGCAGTTGGAATTTAAACCCAGATCTGTGTGACTTACGATCAGGCTGTGCTTTTTACCATCTGCATTACACCAAATATGGGATATGGGCAGCTTCAGTTTAGAGGTGTTTGTGAGGACTGGTTTTCAGGTGTGATCTGAAAAATGCCTTCACCGCTCGCCGTTGTGCCTGAGTTGCCATTTTCCTATCCAGTGTTGACCATTCAGGGCAAACAAGGTTTTTTCAATCCTCCTAGGGTTCCTGGCTAGGTCTGAAATAAAACTGACAAAGACAGATGAAGAAGAGAAAAAAGTAACAGATTTATTTAATCCAAGTTTTATGTGACACAGGAGCCTTTGGACATGAAGACCCAAAGACCCAGGGAAAACTGTCTATTTTTATGCTCAGGTTCAGTGAAGAATGGACAGGCATGTAAAAAGGTATCGGACAAAAAGGGAATGACCTGATGTCATAGACTGAGGGGGACACCCAGAAAGGCCTGTCCAGCCAGATTCTTCCTGGCCTCTCCGTGCTGCATTTCTTCCTCCAGGGTATAGGGCAGAACCCCTCCGGAATGAGGGTCTTATGACCCACAGTCAGATAAGGTAGGTCAGAGACTTTCTTTATGGCCAGAGCTTACACAGAAAGGCTGGGGAAAGTTCGAGTACTAGTTCTGGATTTTATGATTGGCTTTGGGAAAGAGCGGTTCTTAGTTACTATGACCCACCTTGGGGAAGAGGCGTTCTGGTTTTTATGGGCTGCCTTGGGAGAGAAAAGGGAGCAGGAGAAAGAGGAGTGGGAGAAGGTCAGAAAGACCTTGTTTCTGAGTTCCTGTCCTTCAGTTCAAAGCTTTCAGCATGCAAGCCACCTTACTTTTGGGTATCATGTTCTGAGCCCTGACAACACAAAACAAAATCTATTTAAAACAAAGATTACAGCATCATCTGGAGGGACATGTATTTGTCTATTCCTTGCTGTTAACTTGTTGTGGAACCTTGTCTTTCTATTCTTGACCAAAACAAGCCCCTACAAATACAAACCCCTGACCATGGTCCCTGTTATCGCTCATAGATGAGCAGACCAATGAGTACAGCTGGTCACTCTGCACTAAACTTTACATTTCTCGCCTCTGAATAATTACATCTGCCCTGTTAGCCATCTTTAGTGCCCTGTCATGAAAACACAGGACTGAACTGATGCTTAACCCATGTTACTGAGCAGCTGATAGTATTAAACAAAGAGATTTTAGTCCCATTTTAGAGCATCCAATTCCTCAACAGACACATTTTAGCAAATGAGCATAACTTTTCCTAATTCATTAAGGTGAATCATTCAATATTTATCTTTATGGTCATCTTGGAGCATAAAAAATCTCAGAAAGAGAGACGTCACTTGCAGTAAGGTATTGATTATTGTAAATATTCTTAAATATTGATTATTATAAATATATGTTAATATATTAAGAATTCAAAAAATAGGTAACAATGAACAATGTACACTAGAGAGTTATAGCATACATTGTTCATTGTTATCTATTTTTTTGAATTCTTGATATATTAATATATAAAATAATTCCAGTCAACAGCCATAGGCAAATTCAAGGTCCTTGTCCAATTTGGGCTTTGGTAGACTGACAATACTTTCCTAACTATCCCTGGTGAAGAATTTTTCCCCCCAATCCATTGTAGGTGTATACTTCTCTAAAGTACAATGAAAGGGCTGCTGCAGGGTCAGATTGCTACCAAAGTTTCTAAAAACTTAAACAATTCATGGATGGGCCACACTTTGAATGGCCCGGGCTAGAAGATCTCTCAATGTCTCTTTAATTTATTCACCTGAGTCTTTGGCTATTGCTTGAGATTGTCTTCTAAGAGAGTGACAGAAACTTTGTTATTATATACCCTTTTTCAGATTTTGGTATTCCCAGAGATCTACCTAATGTCACAGGCAAGAATGGGGACATTTCCTGCTAGAAAGACGCTCTTCATCTCAAATTTGCCTCAGGTTTTCTGTTGTTTCCCAGAAACAAAGATGAGGTTTCATTTTCCTTTAAGACAAACACTAAACTCAAAATTATTCTAGTCATATCCAAGAGAAGTCAGCCATCCTTTGCAAAGTTAATCACAGCTTTCCTCCGGGATCTCACAGTTCTCAGCAAAGATTTTGCTACTGCTGTTGCTGCAACATCAAAATGAAGATTTTGTAAAAGTGCTGGAAGTTCTCTTATTTGTGTTTAGAAATGTGGGCTTGGGTCCTGAGATGCCTGTACCTTTTGGCCTTCATTTTGCTTTGTTAGTAGGAAGACGTGCAGACAAGTGATACAGTCAGAATGCTAGTCTAAAAGAAGATGCCCCAAAATATGTATCAGTTGATATAAAAATGTTGATATTCTTTAGTTCAGTAATGGTCACCTCTAAGAATTTGCCCCAAGAGCATGCGTAAAAAGAAGAAAAAGCTAAACAATAAAGCTATTAGTTGAATTGTCACTTGAAAATCAAAGCAGTGATGATGAGGAAGTGGAAGAACCTAAAGATATAAATCGATGGAAATGATTAAGCCAAGTAGGGTTCATATGCATAACAGGATGATGATACCGATTTATGATAATGATTACAGAAACTACAAAGAAAGCAAAAATATTTACATAAATGTTAAGTGGAAAAAATGCAATTCAGCACAATGCTTTGGCCTAAAGAGGGGTGCCTTTTCTTTTCCTTGCTCTACTCTGAATGGCATGGAGTGCTAACCCCCGACGTGTCCCTGCCAGCTGGCTTCCATCCATGGGGGCTTGGCAGGAGGCTGGGGAGTGGGAAGAAGAAGGAAGCTGGGGTTTTCTCTTTCCCGTTCTCTCCAGATCTGGTCTTCATGGTTCCTGCTCCTACCCACAGCACCCAATGGTTGCACTGGGCCCTGGCTTCTACAAGGTGACCACGACTTTTCCTTTGGCCACAGTGCTCCTCCCTTATTCTTTCAACCTAAGGATGGGAGCAGTTACCTCTTCTTCTTCTGTCTGACTTCTCAGTGCTGCTGTCATTGGTGTAGCCAATTCGCTGTATTATTTTCACTACATTTTAAACATGTATGGGTGACTTTCTCCCTTCCTTACTCCCTCCCTCCCTTCCTTCCTCCCTTTCTTCCTTCTTTCCTTTTCTTTTTTCTTTCTTTCTTCTCCCTTTTTTCTTTCCTTCTTTCTTTCTCTCTCTTTCCCTTCCCTTCCCCTCTCCTTCCTTCCTTCCCTCCTTCCTTTTTTCCTTCCTTCCTCTCTCTCCCCTTCCTCTCCTCCTCCTTCCCTCCTTCCTTTCTTCCTCTCTCTCCCTTTCCTCTCCTCCTCCTTCCTTTCTTCTTTCTCTTTTATTTGGACTCTGGTAAGTCTACATGTAGTTTGGAGCCTGGTAGGGCCATTTGGGAAAGGTTTCCTAGTGGACAGAGTGGCACAGTGAGGGACCGCAGTGTGAGAGAGTGAGCACACAGGGAGACCAGGGTTTGGGAGTGGTGAGTGCAGTGGGAAGACCCTTCTGAGCTTTGGACATGGGGAAGAATGGAACACATTTAATGACATATATCCCCTGTTTCTTACCTGGGGAAGAAGATGTGTGAGGCTGTGATGGGAATGGGAGCGGTGGTGTGGGATATTTGAGCCCAGGAGACGAGCAGATCTATGCAATTGGATATATAACACATGTCTGTGGTGGCTATTCCTGGTATTCATGTCCTTCCATGGCCCCCTCCCACATTAGGCAGGGCTGTCCTGCGTAGTCTGGAAGATGGTGTGGACATGTCAGTGTGTGCCTTCCGAGGCCAGGCACGGAGGCTACTGTGGCTCCTTCCTGCCTTGCCCTCCCTTGAATTGCTTGTTCTGGGTAAAGGCAGTTGCCGTGTCACGAGGACATTCAAGCAGCCCTAGAAAGAGATCCTCGTGATAGAAACCGAGACCTCCTGCTAACAAACAACCTGCACGAATTGGCCAGGCATGTGAGGGAGCCACCTGGGAAGTGGATGATGCCTGCGGGGGTCAGATGACCGCCGTGGGGGCGGAGCAGTGCAATCCCTTCCCTCACCCATTGTAAGAGTCGCAGCCAGCTCTCCTGTAACAAAGACAGGTTAGCAAGAGAAAAGCATGACAGATTTCTGTAATCAAAGTTTTATGTGACATGAGAGACTTCAGAAATGAAGACCCCCAAACCCAGGGAAATCTGTCCATTTTTATGCTTAGATTCTCAGCCGTGTAGAAATACGACGGGACGAGAGGGTATGACGCAACGGTAATAGACCGAGGGGCACCCAGCAGGGCCTGTCTGTTTAGATTCTTCCCAGCCTGTCTGTGCAGCATTCCTTCCTCCCGGGTATAGCGTATAGGGCAGGAACCCGCTGGAATAAAGGCCTATGACCCACCATCAGACAAAGGATGTCAGAGAATTCCTTCCTTCTTTCCTCCCTCCCTTCCTTCCTCTTCCTTTCCTTCCTTTCCTTCCCTTCCCCTTCCTTCCCCCCTCCTCTCCGCTTCCCTCCCCTCCCCTCCTCTCCACTTCCCTTCCCTTCCCTCCCCTCCTTCTCTGTCATCCAGGCTGGAGTGCAGTGGTGTCCCTCTGGAATAAAGGACTTAGACCTACAATCAGACAAACTATGTCAGAGAATTTCTTTTCTTTCCTTTTCTTTTATTTTCCCCTCCCTCCCTTCTTTCCTTCTTTCCTTCCTTCCTTCCTTCCTTCCTTCCTTCCTTCCTTCCTTCCTTCCTCTCTCTCTCTGTCTCTCTCCCCCACCGCTCTTTCTTTCTGGGGTACAGTGGTGTGCCTCTGGAATAAAGGCCTTAGACCTACAATCAGACAAACTATGTCAGAGAATTTCTTTTATTTTCTTTTCTTTTTCCTTCCTTCCTTCCTTCCTTCCTCTCTCTCTCTCTGTCTCTCTCCCCTGCCACACTTTCTTTCTCTTTCTTTGTTTCTTTGTTTGTTTGTTTGTTTCCTTCTTTCTTTTTTTCTTCCTTCCTTCCTTCCTTCCTTCCTTCTTTCCTTCCTTCCTTCTCTCTCTCCTTTTCCTTCCTTCCTTCCTCCGTCCCTCCCTCCCTCCTTTCCTTCCTTCCTTCCTCTCTCTCTCTCTCTCTCTCTCTCTCTCTCTGTCTCTGTCTCCCTCGCTACTCTTTCTTTCTTTCTTGACAGGGTCTCACTCTCTCACCCAGGCTGGAGCACAGTGGTGTGATCATGGCTCACTGCAGCCTCAACCTCCTGCACTCAGGAGATCCTCCAACTTTGGTTTCCTGAGTAGCTGAGATTTCAGGCGTGCACCCCCATGCCCAGCTAATTTTTGTATTTTTTGTAGAGATGGGATTTTGCCACATTGCCCAGGCTAGTCTTGAACTCCTGGCTTCAAGCGATCCACCTGCCTCAGCGTTCCAAAATGCTGGGATTACAGGCATGAGCCACCATGCCTGGACAGAGAATTTCTTTGTAGCCAGCTCTTACACAGATAGGTGGGTGTAAGTTAGAGCAATATTTCAGGTTTTATGGCTTGCTTTGGGAAAGAAGGGTTCTAGTCCTATGACCTACCTGGTAGAAGAGGAATTCTAGTTTCTATGACTTCCTTTGGAGGAGCAGGTGCAGACAGGAGAGCAGGGAGAGTCGGAGAGAGTCTTTGCTTCTGATGCCTTCCAATCTCCTTTTGTTCAATGCACTCAGCCTGCCAAAGTGCCAGGCTTTGGGTTATCATTTTCTGAGCCCCAACTCTGCAACAGCTTGACTGAAACCTTGTGAGAAAATCTGACTCAGAACTACCCGGCTAAGATGCTCCTGGATTCCTGAACCAAGATATTATGCAAGATGATAAATGTTCATGGCTGGATTAAGCTGCTGCATCTTGGACAGCCATAGATCTATGGCTGTTTACACTCTGTAGATTTGGTGCATGATTATTTAGTAGGTCAGATATTGCAGTTCAGTTATCTCATAAACAGCTGGTTTTATATTCTTTTCCCCTGTGTAACTTATGCTGCTGCCTTCATTTCAATCTATATACTTTCTTTTCTTTTTTTTTTTTTTGAGGCTGGAGTGCAGTGATGCAATCTCGGCTTACTGAAACCTCCGTCTCCAGGGTTCAAGCGATTCTCCTGCCTCAGCCTCATGAGTAGCTGGGCTGGGATTACAGAGGTGCATCACCACGCCCGGCTGTTTAATCTGCACACTTCCTATGTGGCTTAAATCCATATTGTCTTAGGGTAGTTCCTTTCTCATCCCCCAATTTCCTCCTCTAACGCATATCATGGAAGTAGCCATAATCTAAGATTAGTTGCTTATATTAATTATTCAAAACTTCTTCAACCTTTCCGTAGATGAAGGTTAAACTAGTCTTTAGATTTTTTGAAGATATTAGTGATTGGCTTCGGCTACCAAACACTTTAATTTCAATCAGCACATCATTAGGACGCCAATGAAGCAGCACTGATCCTGAGTCAGGAAAGAACTCCCGGCTTTCACAAAAACCATTCAAAGGTATGGGAAATGCTGCTCCAGAGCTGACAAGCCAGCGTCCTCTCATGCCCCTTCAACGCCGGGTTTCTTTTGATTAACTATTGGTATATTTCCTCTTAATGCCAACAGCAGCCTCCTCTGCTCATCTCTCCCGCTGCCCCCATCAGAAAATCCATAACCACAACCTTTCCCAGCCTTTAAGCTGCCTCTGGAGAGTCAGGGAAGCCAATGGCATCATTGTTCACGCGGCAACTGTGCTGCACCTCGTTGTGCAAAAGCTTGGTGGGCGTCCGTGACTTCAGGAGCCCGTGAGAAGGGGAAGCCGTCGGTATTGTGCCTCATGCCAAAGGTTAGCGGCTGCCCCTCCCTGGGGAGGCTCGGTTTGGGATCATTTCTGTTTGCAGTGCTATGTGCAACCTTGGCATGCAATCAGCAGAGAAAATATTCATTATTGCCTGACTGTCTGCTGAAGACAATTTCAATTATTCTGGCATTTCAATGGATGAAGAAGCCCTTTAGGCTGGCCCAGGAGATTAGACTTAAAGGCTCTGTAAATTAGGAAAGTTACAATCAGTATATTATCTGGCAGGCAGCTGCGGGAGACACCACAGCAGGCAAAGAGAGACAAATTGCTATATTCCGGTTGTGGTTTTGATATATCAATTTACAAGTTTAACATACACATTTGTGAAAGAATGATTTTGCCTTTCTTAAATCACTTTTAACTGCCTGCACTCGAAGTTTCTGAACCTGTAACTGGAATCGTCAGCTTGCATTGCTGACGTTTTGTTTTAAAGCCCAATTTCAGCCAGGAAAAAATACTACCAGGGACAGAGCTTGGAAATTAATCTTTCCTAAAGTTATTCAAATAATATAATATATGGCAGTTAATCAGAAAATTCCATTTGCAGAAATGTGAATAATGTCCCATATAAAGGCTTTTTCTTTAATGGGATGTTTTTCATGTCTTTTTTTTTTACTAGATTCTCTCTCTTATGATAACTCTATCTATGTATTTAATATATATTATTTCACCATGCTTGTCTGATGTGATAAGTATGAAAATAAAAATAATTACCATAATAACATGATACTTTACAAACATTTGCATAAATGAGGTCTATCGATAAATAAGTTTTTCATGATTCTGTCAAGTTCTTTCTAAATGTTTCCGATTTCTTAGAACTCAGGTTTCATTTAAACAATAGGTTTTTTAAAAACCTGTTAAGAAATGCCTTGAAAAATGTCTTTTGATATTGATTAATACCTGTAGCTATGCCTGAAATAAAGTTCACATTTCCTGAGTGAGTTTAAGGTATTTTTCTTTCTCGGATTTTAGGAAGAATTGTTTAGCATTTGCTTAATAGGAAAAACATTTTGTTTTTGAGCTAGATAGTTCAAGTGAAAAAAAGTTTTAAGTTGTGTCATTGGCTTCAGCTTTTTATGAAACAGATAGAGACATAAGTAAATATTAAAATATAGATATTTTCAAGGAAGGTTTGTAAATGGCATGTAGCTTTGTTATCCTCCCAATACTCAAGAGGATTTTCCACTGCCTGTGTGTGAAATTCAAAAATAGGTATCTCAAACTCCAGAGGATGCTTCTTTGCTTTGGAAATATTTATATTCCAATGGACTGAGTGAAGCCAATGGACTGGTTTGTATATATCTTCACTCCCAGTTTATTTTTAAAGATTTTTGTTGTTGTTGTTGTTTGAGACGGAGCCTCGCTCTGTTGCCCAGGCTGGAGTGCAGTGGCGGGATCTCAGCTCACTGCAAGCTCCACCTCCCGGGTTCATGACATTCTCCTGCCTCAGTCTCCTGAGTAGCTGGGACTACAGGTGCCTGCCACCACGCCCGGCTAATTTTTTGTATTTTTAGTAGAGACGGGGTTTCACCGTGTTAGCCAGGATGGTCTCGATCTCCTGACCTCGTGATCTGCCCGCCTCAGCCTCCCAAAGTGCTGGGATTACAGGCATGAGACACTGCGCCTGGCTTTAAAGATTTTTCGAATTTTCATGTAATACATTCTATTGAGTATTTATTTGAAGGTCGAGGATTACAATTCAAGTAACGTGTGTCCAAATAGCATTTGACCGGGGCCCTGGCTGTAAGTGTTGAATTTAACAGCACTCTATCAGGCTGTCCCCATAGACCTTGTCAGAAAGGTGTTTATCAATCAATAACATGGAATTCATTTTTTTCTTTCTTGTTTACAGAACCGGACTACCCACCAGGGACAGTTACTTGTCTTTTACAATATCCAGGAAGTGCCCTTCATCACAGACGCTGAAGTTTGACTGTGGCCTTATGCGGTACATTGTACTGACATATTTTCTCATGGGAACTGTTGGGCTAGTTCAGGCAAGTATCTGCAATGCTTAAACAGACAGTTTCAGGCTGGAGAATTTAAGAGACAACCAAATAGAGTTTTAATGCCCTGTAAGATAATAACGAAAGACATTTATGAAAAAAAAAATTCCAGTTAGTTTGAAAGCCAGGGCCCGCACTCCATATTTTGACAGCAGATGGATGGCTAGCTTGACTGATCCTGGTTTACTTTCTGACTTGAATTTGTCCCCTAGTCCAGTGAAATCATAAGGGCTCCCTTCAATCTGGTTAATGTTCAGAACCAATGTTTGAGTTTTAGACTAATTAAGGGGCAACCACTGACATTTTTTCTATAATGTGAAGACTGGTGCCAGCAGTAACTCAGTGAGATTTAACATAAAAGCCAGATAAAACAATTAAAGTGGAAGAATATTTGATTAAGTGGATCACTGATTTATAGTGAGGTAAATTGAAATTGAAAGGAGAGTGAACTTTTTATGGCAATCATATATTACGTTCATTATCAGAGACTCTGGATCCTTTGTGCTTTTGTGATTTAAAAAGAAATAAACCAGTTTAAGGAGAGTCATCCTGGCAGGCATCGTTTGTGTCTTGTCTTGAGTTATGGTTTCTTTTCATTGCAAAGGTTAAATAAATCATATTCAAGAAAACTCATTGCAAAACACGCAATCAACATTTGAATAGATGAAAAAGTGTAATAGGGCCACGCATGGCAAAATACACACCGGCACTTTTGTTTTGGTGAGCTTGACATACACTTCAATCAGCATTTATTTGGTATTTGCAGAAACTGTAACTGTGGCAACATCCCTTAAGGGGTCTTGGGTCTGTTGTCTAGAAGAGCCATAGATTTGGTATCAGACCTGAGGAAATTGTGAAACAGCCATGTTGCACATGCCTCCTCTTGTTCTGTGACTGGCTCTGCTGCAACAGAAGTTAAACTGCTTCTGAAGCTTGCTTTAGCAGGTGCTTGGCTTGCAGTGTGCTCCTGACACCCCATCCACAAAATATCTGGCACTTTCCTTACATAAACCAAAATGGCTTTTGCAGTGGCCGTGTTGGATTTGCGTTAGAAAGTGAGCATCACAGTCTAGCAGCAAACAGAGAGTGGCAGGGTCAGCACAGGCGAAAGGAAGAGCAGAGACACAGGTGATTTGGGTAACTCAAAGAGCCTTTCAAAGAAAAAATTAAAACAGCTAATATTTGTTCCCTCCCTGGCTTGCGGGATTCTGGAGGGGGACCGGGGAGATACCAGTGAGAAAGGATGGCCGTAGAGGTAGAGATTGACTACATGAAGCAACTATGGAAGGCTCCACTCCCCAGGTGAGACTCTCGTACAGAACTCTGAGGAACAGAGGAAATCAAAAGAGAAAGTGTGGACCACATTGGGAGAATAGACAGCTCATCAAATTGTTCAATTATAATCTTGATCCTTTGATGGCACATCTTAATTGCATTCATTAATTTTTACCAAAATGCTATTTGATTGCTATTGTGAAAACTTTTGTATAAGGAGAAGCCATTAAATCGACTAATGACTCAAAGAAAGAACTCTGAGCTGAGCTCTGGTCCTGACCTGCCCCTCTCCAGGTGTGTGGCCCTGGGCGAGTCTCACATCCCTCAGGTCCCTGGCTTTCTTGTGTGCGGGAGGTGGAGGCATACCCGGTGACGGGTAAGGTCCTTCCAGGCTCTAGTAGGCAATGAGTCTGTGATTGTTATGGAAAATAGGAAAAAGAGGGCTTATACTAGTCAGCTACAGCTGAGTTTTAAATATCTACATCCCCCAAGAAGGTTAGATGAGTAATCATGCTGGGTGCTGATGGTGATTAGTCGAAGATAGGAAAGGTATTTTCCACTTTTCAAAGGAAGCAGTTGTTAAAATTATTGTAATCAAGGCAGAAACAATACACAATGGAGATCTTGTTTTCGTTGTTGTCAGAGAAGAAAGCAACAACATGGAATCGTGTTTTGTCACCATGCTTTTCGTTGCCAAGGGTCTTTGCCATGGAGTGGAGGGAGACTCGGTGCCATCTGTTCATCTATTCAGGACTCCGTGACATTTCTTCCCCTTGGTACCTTTGCTTAGGACACCTGCTTTGAAGTCATTCTAAGCCAAAGCATTGATTCAGAGATGCAAAACCAGAGGGAGTGAGGCAGAAGTGAGGGGCTCTGTGGGAGTGAGGGCCGTGAGGGGAGAGGATTGGCATAGACAGCGACTGTGTACTGATCATTTCATAATTTGCCCACAAAACTGTCTTTTCTGAAACAATTCTGACTCAATGCTGTTAGGCCATGAAAACTTTTAAGTTTATAAGAACCAGTCCTTAATAACACACCCTTAGGTTGTTGAAGGTCCTATAAAGAGATATGCAATATGTTTATAAGCAGGTGCATGCCTCATTAATTTATTAAAGTCATCCACTCCTTAGCACACACAGTTTGCAAATCTCTTTGTGTTTTTCTGTTCACTTCACAGAGGTAGAGGCAGAGACTGCTTGTCCACACATCCCATGGAGACTTGTGCCTTGGGCTAGTCATTTCACTTCTTATGGCAGGTAGAACTGGGTGGTACAATTGTCTGAAGCTATAGGGAAGATGGAATGGGAGTGGACTTTCTTTCCTCCTTCTCCTCCTCCTGCTCTTCCTCCTCATCCTCCTCTTCTTCTTCTTCTTATTGTTCTTCTTCTTCCTCTTCCTCTTCTTCTCCTTCTCTTTCTCTTCCTCCTCCTCCTCCTTCTTCTTCTTCCTCTTCCTCTTCTTCCTCTTCTTCTTTTTCTAAGATAGGGTCTCACTGCATCACCCAGATTGGCATGGCATGTAGTGGTGCAATCGTACTTCACTGCAATCTTGAACTCCTGGGCTCAAGCGATCCTCCCACCTCAGCCTCCTGAGTATCTGGGACCACAGGTGTGTCCCACCATGTCTGGTTAATTAAAAAACATTTATTTTTGTAGAGATGGGGGTCTCGTCATGTTGCCCAGGCTGGTCTCAGACTCCTGGCCTCAAGCCATCCTCCTGCCTCAGCCTCCCAAATAGAGGAGGGGGCACTCTGCATTGTAAACTGTGATATACACATGGTGTAAAGATATTTTCCGACAGGAAAGTTCTCGAAACTGTTTCCTTCCATGGTGCAACTTGGAGAGGTGCCCTGCCAAGCAAAGTGAGGAAACCAGGAGAGAAGAAGGCCTGGGAATGAGGAAACAGGGACCAGCCAGAGAAAGAGAGAGGTGACAGGATACCCCAGGATGATGGTGAAGGAAAGGCCAGCCATGGAGTAGCCAAGAGAACCCCTCACCAGATTGCATCAGGCAGGCCGAGGGCCCCAGGAGGAGTGGCCAGGAGAAAATGGAATTCGCAGTTGAAGATTGTGAGATACATTTCAGGATTCCCTGGGACAGTTTAGGTTTAAAGTGGCAATAGTTCATGGAAAACAAAACAATTGAAAAAAATGCAACCATTAACCCCAGGGACAATGTAAACTTAAATATGAAACGAAATGCATTGTATGGCTCAGCTTTGGAAATTTTTGCATACGTTAAGAATAAGACAGACACTAAATTCTGATGTAACCAAAATTATAGTGTGACTTCACTGGAAGGATAGGGAATGAAGTGGAGCAGGCTGGAATGGGGAAAGCTTTTCAGAATACAAAATCAAAACAGATGACTAAAAAAGAAAAATCAAGAAATAGCAATTGGTTGGATGCAGTGGCTCATGTGTGCAATCCCAGCACTTTGGGAAGCTGAGGTGGAAGGATCTCTTGAGTCCAGAAGTTTGAGACTACCCTGGGCAACATAGTGAGACCTCCGCCTCTAAAAAAACAAAACAAAACAAGACAATATGTTATTACAAACATAAAGATCAGTAAGTACTAGAAAAGACCACAAAAAGAATTGCAAAACTTTAAGTGACTCTGAGGAGTGGAATTCAGACGTTGAAGGGTTGCGACGAGGACTGCTGTTTCTCTAGGTTTTATGGTAATACCTAACTTTTGAAACAATGTGTATTTACTGCTTTAATAAAACGTACATTTTTGATACCTGTTCGGTGTAAGGAGAGTGCGCTAGGGAAATGAGTTGGTTTTCGCGAGTGTGAATACATGGAGACAGTGATGCCCGAGTGCCTTGGAGAGTTCAGAAATTTAAGGGCCACTGCTCTCAATTTTATTTCGAGATTCCTCTCTTGGAGGGGAACACAGGATATCAGTGCCATATTCAGGATACTTGCCTGGAATTTCACCTCTACTTTTCCTATTTATGTCACATAAAATCCCTCTTTAGCTGTGAGCCTAGACCTCAGAAAAGGATGTTGGATCTGGGAAACCCACCCATCTCTTCTGTCTTCTGTCCCAGTAATTTTGTATCTATACAATTGTGATACAAGGAATATTCTTTAAATTAAACTCTATCATGCCGACATTGTGTTTGCTTTTGTTCACAGACCTACTACAATGTCTGGTACATAATAAGTGCTCAATAAAATACATAGAATGAATAAATGCATCAAGGGCACACACAAAGCAAAGGAAGTCCCCAAAGCTTCCTAAAACAAATGCATCACCACCTATTCTTCCCTCCATCCTCTCCTTCTTATTCTTTTTCATCTTGGAGCCAGAACAATCTTTGCCAAACCTAATTTGGATCAGGTTGCCTCTTTGCTCAAAATTTTCAAGAGTTTCCCTTTGCATTTATGTAAAGGACACATTTCTTGATATGCCCATTGGCCAAACGTGGTAGCACCAGCCTCTCCAAGTTCCTCTCCTATTTCTTTCTCCCTTTTCTCTCTGCCCTGTTCACACAACATGCTCCAGTCTTGGGGGTCTTTCAAGTGGTCTTCTCTGTGCTTGACATCGTCTTCCTTTCTTCCTCATTTAACTCCTACTCATCTTTCAGGTGAGCATCCCATCCTCAGGGGAACTGCCACCCACCTTCCTCAGCCTTCCTTTTAGGTTTCCATAGCAACATCTCCCTCTGCTTCATTTTGTCCTAGTTGCAGTGTTACACTTATTTGTGTTTTAATTTGATTAATATCTGTCTCCCCCAGCAGGGACCATGCCTGAACAACCACCTCCATCCCCTACCCTATTACCCAACGTAAGGTAGTTGCTCAATAAGAAATAGACCAGTGAATGAAAAGGACAATGGACATTCTTGGAGATGGGAACAATTGCCGGTAATAGTGGCGATGGTGGTTTGTGGGCTGATTATGTGTACAGAATACGCAGATGTTTTTAGAACAAGCTGGTAAGCCGCTGTTTCTCCTCTCTGCCTCTCTGAGTCACTGCCCACTATAAGCAGCTGGGGGGTGGATAAAACACACTTGCATGCACACACACATGCACACACACATGCACACACATGCACACACACGTACACACATACACGCACACATACCCCTACACATTCCAAAGCTCCGGGCTCCAGCAGACATTGGTGGTGACTCAGCATCCCATTATTTCAAGCATTCTTGTCAATTTCAGTTTTTCTGTGAACATTGATGAGTAGAAGTTTGCCAGAGGAGGAGGTGGGTGGGAGTTTGGAGTGGATGGAAAGGAAAGAGAGAGGTGGCCCAGAGACCCAGTAAACACTTCGAAAGCTTCTTACGTGTTCAAATATTTAAACACCTATTTCAGGCTCTTGCAATAATCAGCCATAAGCTTACAAAGGTGGTCAGTCCTGAACATTTGGCTGCTGGACTATTCAATTTCTGGCTGCTCCTTAAAAGCTGCAGGCTAGTTTTGAAACATGGGTATTGTGGGTAAAATACTGACTCACAGGTTTAACATCACAAAAGCCATTCCATGTGAGCAGCTGTGAGAGAAACTGACTTCCTCCTGAGAAGGGACACAGCAATCTATGAAAAATCAAGTGACTGAATGGGCTTGTCTATAGATATGGACCATTCCTCTTCCTTGGCATTGGGCAGAAATTCTCCACCAGGTTTAGAATAAAATGATTTCCTATGACATTACTTTTACTACCGTTTGCAGTTAAGATGTGTGCTTACATGTTTACTAGCTTGATGTGATTAATACAGAAACTAAGTAATTCATCCACATTGAAAATGTGTAATTATAGTTTTCTCAAAGTTATATTTAGAAATCCAGAGACTCAAATCCAGAGACTCAAACCAGGATGTTTGGGTGTAGATGAAAACAGAACAATAGAATATCAAAGCAACTCCCTCCTCCTCTTGCCCCCAGCACAAAACTAACTGCGGGACCTTTATCTAAGATGAATTTTGAAACCTTATGTTCTTTGCTTGTAATGGCATTCTTATGTCAATGCAGGAGGCCCCATCTCTGCAAACCCAGTTCTGTCAAACTTTTTTTTTGGCCATTCCTCCATCATCGAAGAATCACAGTTCAAGAGATGCTCCCCTCTCATTAGCAATGGCACTTTCTTCCTTTGGGCATGCTGGAATTACATCATCAGTGATAATGATAATCATAAAGGTGGCCCAGAATCACTGGGTCCTTGTCCTACTTTGGACAGTTAAGCAACCTATAAAGTAAGTACTATTGTCCCATTTTACAGATAAGAAAAATGAGTCTTAGAAAGATTGTACAACTTGGTAGTAAGTGAAAGTGGGACTCAAATGCCTCAAACTTTTTGATAGCATTCAGCACCATCCTAATCATTACTACGCTGTCTTTTACATTTTTCATCATTGTTCCCTGAACATTGAGGGTCAGAATTCTGTTTTGGACTCACATTGAACCTCTCCTAGTTTGGAACGAGCACCTTGAGGATAGGAAGTGTGTCTAGGCCAGGCGCGGTGGCTCACACCTGCAATCTCAGCACTTTGGGAGGCTGAGGTGGGCAGATCACTTGAGGTCAGGAGTTTGAGATCAGCCTGGCCAACTTGGTGAAATCCCATCTCTACTAAAAATAAAAAAATTAGCCAGGTGTGGTGGTATGTGCCTGTAATCCCAGCTATTCGGGAGGCTGGGGCAGGAGGACCGCTTGAGCCTGGGAGTTTGGAGGCTGCAGTGAGCTGAGATCGCACTACTGCACTCCAGCCTGGGTGACAGAGGGAGACTGTGCCTCCAAAAAGAAAAAAAAAAAGGGAGTGTGTCTAATTCATTTTTATATCTTCAATCTTAGCTGAGCCTCCAGCATAATGTAGGTGCTTAATAAATATTTAATAAGTAGATGAATAAAAAAAGTGATAGAAAAGATGAGGTCTACTAGTTACTGATTCCCATGTGAAATTGCCATGCCTTATTCTTTTTATGAAGGGACGCTTATGTTCCATTCTTCTTGTTTGGCCTAAGTGTAGAGAATGTGACAAAATCATCATGAAAATACAGAAATTGAGCTTTCCAACTTAAGGAACAGTGATAGCAGAGAAAATCTTTAAAAAATTAAAAAGAAACAGACACATCCTGGTACCTGGTGTTTGCTTTGTGGACGAACTCTCTTTGGCTCACTATAGGCATTCCATACATGGAGACAGGTTGATTGGTTGATGGGTTTCAAATACATTTGTCTTTGATAATCAGATCCTGCCTTAACTTATTTCCAAATTCTTGACTGTTTATCTGCGTCTTCGATTTAGGGGCTTAAACATGCCATCAACTTTTCAAAAGAAACCAATAGGACCATGTGTTCAATTTTAACGCAGTAAATAGAGGAGTCTCTGATCCTGTGATTATTTTAATTTGAGTTGAAATTACGGTAAAGGTACTCACTGGAATTTTCACTAGGCCATTACTTGGATTACACATTATAAATTAAAATCCATGACCTTCGATATAAGGGAAAAGGCATTGGTTTGAACATCTTCCTGCTTTAAAAGAAACTTTTAAATTATTAGCATAGAAATAATTTCAACAAGGTCATGTCCTAAAGCCTCTTGGGCAACGTGACGAACTCTCCCCTACCCCCTTTTGTGTTTTCCATTCTGCCTTGTTTTGCGGCTTCTTGTTTTGCCACTGCTACTTTTTTCTGCCCTCTTCTGCCTCCATCCAGTTCCATAGCCTGGGCTTTGTACTCTCTCAGGCACACTTTATCCAGCCTAGTAATCAGGGACTCAGGCACCATCCTAGTGCAATACATATTCTCATTTCATGGACAATGAAACAGGATCAGAGTAGGCTGAATGGCTTGTCCAAAGTCACAGAGCAAGTAAGCGGCAGGGCTAGGGCTAGAACCCAGGTCAGACTCAGATCCACAATCCTTTCTCTATTCAACCTACTTCACTGGTTACTAAGTCTGCCTCCCATTTTATTTTACATTTGTTTTAGCTTCTGATTATTTCAAACTCTTAAAATGAAAAGCTAATACAGAGGGGAGAGTTTTATTTGATTTAAATCCTTAGCTGCAATAATTGGATAAGAATAAGCCACAGTGACACCAAATTAAAACTAATTTATTTACATATTGTTTATTATTTATATATGTATACATTATTTGAATTAATTATTTGAATTAAGACTAGAACTCTAAATATTGTGAGTAAAAGAGGGCATTCTTACTTCCTTGTCATGGAATCTACGACTAATAACAGTTACAGTAACAAACCACACAGCTAATAGTCTATTTACATAATGACTAGTTAGAGGGATATTAAAATTTTAATGTTGTAATCAAATCCCTATCTCAATTATTTCTAGTTATTACTTGTATGTTTATGTTATTTATACACTAATTTTCCCTGACATTAACTTTGAAATAAACAGTCCTTTACAATTTTAAGAAAATAAGAATTTTTAGCTGGGCCTTGTGGCTCATGCCTGTAATCCCAGCACTGTGGGAGGCTGAGGTGGGTGGATCACTTGAGGTCAGGAGTTCGAGACCAGCCTGGCCAATATGGTGAAACCCCTGTCTGTACTAAAAATACAAAAATTAACTGGGTGTGGTGATAGGTGTCTGTAATCCCAGCTACTCGGGAGGCTGAGGCAGGAGAATTGCTTGAACCTGGTAGGTGGAGGCTGCAGTGAGCCGAGATCATGCCACTCCTCTCTAGCCTGAATGACAGAGTGAGACTCAGTATGTGTATAACTGAATGTATGTATATAACCATCCACATTCTAATATATATATATTAAATATATGTATAAAGACTATATTTTCCAGCCTCCTTTGCAACTTGCTGTAGCTGTACGTTAAAGTTCTAGTTAATGATCCCTGACAAGAAGTGTCAGAGACTCTTCTTCTTCCTCGTTCTTTCTGGCTGCAATGCAAATGTAATGGCTGGTGCTTGGCAGCCATATTAGACCATTTGTCAACTGAAGATGGAAAGAGCAGCAAGATAGAGGCTTGGGACGTTGATGATTGGGAAGCCATAGAACCAGCATTGTCAACCTACTTCCAGACTTATTTTTATGTGAGAGAAAAATAAACTTGTGTCTCTTTAAAACTACTACTATTTATTAATTAACTTATTATATGCAGCCTAACCAAATATAGCTGACACAATATTTTATATGGCTTTAGAAGTATTGACTCAGAATTAGAAGATATCGGGGAGTTCATTAATGAACTACTTTACAGGTGAGCAAACTGATCTCCCAAAAATGTCAGTACCTAGACTTTATTAATTTCTGAAAACTCTAAACACATTATATGATGGTTTTAGTGAAAAAGCAGAAGACAAAATGCTTCAAATAAAATGTAGAAAGTATTCTTAATTGCCTTAATTTTATTTCCCAAAGAAAATATCTGTTAGAGAAGACAAAAAAAAATACCATGTGGTCTTTGTGCTCGTTTTGGAAGTTTGAATTAAGACTAGGACTCTAAATATTGTGAGTAAAAGAGGGCATTCTTACTTCCTTGTCATGGAATCTACGACTAATACAGTTATGGTAACAAGCCACACATCTAATATTCTATCTACGTAATGACTAGTTAGAGGGATATTAAAATTTTAATGTTCTAACCATATCCCCATCTCAGTTATTTCTAGTTTCACATTTTGCTTCTTTATGCTAGCAGTTCCTTAAACCTTGCCAGTGGAGATGAAAACTTAACTGCAACAGGTGATCCTCACTTAGCCTCTGAGCCATAGAAATTCTACTCACCAACATCAAATCTTGAAAATCACATTACACTTTGAGGTCAGTCTCTAATTTTGGAATTTGGTGGGGGAGGATACTTTGGGTGCACCCATGAATTGCCTCAATTGTGTTGCCCTGAGACGATGAAAGTAGACCTTAAGCAGTGGGGATAGTAGTATTTCTATGGTCTTTTGCAAGATTAGGAGATCCTGCAGACTCTTTATCTGCAAGGCAAAGCCTGGAGCAATGAGCTGTCCTGAAAAGATCAAGGGAGCACAGATAATCCTAAGAGTGCTAAGGGTGTGATGTGGATTTTCCTCAAGCACCATGGACCCCATGAAGTGCTACGCCACTTCTCAAGTGTGTATGGTGGCATTTACCATCATCACTGCTTGCTTTCCACATTAACGTCTAAGCAAAATTACATCTTGCTGATTGGTGACTTAATTTTCCAAGTCTCTTCTATGAATTATTTAGAAGACTATGAACTCTAAGTTGATGTTCTGACCAGACCAATTAAATCTTTCCCCTGAATGACCTACTCCTAGACTCTTTGTGGAGTCTGAGTGTGTATGTGTGTGTGTGCGTGTGTGTGTGTGTGTACTCTTGGATGGAACTAAAAGATCTTGAGTAGCTTTAAAAGAATGGAAAGAATTTTGCTAACATCTGAATATTTGCTTGTTACCTTTTAGTGTTTCATCTACAAGGTCTGACTTTTTGGAGACCTCATTAGAAACACATTAACCTTGGAACTGATGTGGAAATTCCTTTCCTCCCTTGGACTGATGTGAGTGGTTTTAGTTTATTTGACCTTAAGAGTGAAGGTAAAACCCTCACTTCCTTTCCTGGCTTATCAAAATGGAAAACAATATGGTTTTCTGGAAAAATTTCATGCAACATGTGATGCCTACCTGCAATGTTCAAATCTTTTTTGGATGTCATGCAGGAGGAATGGAGGAGGCTCTTTTGAATGCTTCAGAGTCTCTTAATTTTTCAAAGCAGGGAGGAAACTAAATCTGGTAAACAACCATCAGAGTGCTCCAGTATATTATTTTAACCCTCATCACGGTGTGCTTTCAGAAACTGCATTGTTAGTCATTGAGGAGAAGCGATTCATGCACTGGAAGCATTAATCACCCAACAACTGAGTCTGCATAACCAACCCACACCCTCCAGTTAACCATGTAAGACTGGGGGAGTATAGCATTTCACCTGTTGCAGATAAGCCCGACATGACCCCAGGATGTTTTGACAGCCACCAGCACTCACTCTTCCAAACCAAATTCTTCCAAGTCATTTCTTGACTATTTATAAGAGTGCAACTATTTTTGTTGAAGGGTTATAAAGATTGACATCTTTGGCATTCTTCTTTCTGCTGGGAGAGATTTTACTTTCAGCTTTCCTGGATTTACTTGATTTAATGATCAGCTACGTTCAATGGGGTTGCCAGCTGGAGGTAGTGGTGGTAAGAGGGACCCCAGGAGTACAATGCAGTCACCCAGGCTCTGATCAGTCCTGAACAGCTGTGACCAAATGGGTGAAATCCCATTTATTCATTTGGAGGCACAGTGAGGAGTTCTCTTTATTTCCCTTGTCTCCACATCAAAGGGCAGGCTTGTAATGTGATTGTGATCCGCCATAATGGGCGGACTTGTGCATGCAGCTTCGTGTGGAGGTGCAGGGCTTCCCATGGGTGCCCCATCAGCTGCTCTCACACAAAGTGCGTCGGAAAACTGGCAGCCAGCACCAAGGCAGTTTCCATGTTGTTGCTAGGGATGCCGCATTAAGTACCCCAATGCTCTGTGCTCGAAAGAAGGAAAAAGTGACATTCTGACTTCCCATGCGAGAGTGGAATACGTGATTCACAGTCCTTCTGCAGCATTAATCAGGCCCTGTTTACATGGAAAAAAGCCAGAAGGGCTAGAGCCAAAGAGGTGCATTTGGAAAGCCAAGTGATGATGTCATCTGTGCAGAGCATCCCCGGCAAGCCACTCAACTGGCTTAGATGCCTTGTATTTTGCCGTGGAGCAAATCTCAGTTAAGTGTCACAGGAACACCACGGTGTCTGGCCCTGTACTTGGGATTTAACATGGTTCTATTATGGTTTGTTTGTAAAATAGTGTAACATCCCCATTTGTTATTAACACAAGTCAGAAACAGTCCGATCTACTGGTACATGGCAGTAAGTAAGCTCTAAATCCTTGCAGGGAGATAGTACACACGCACACACAGGTGCTCGTGCACATGCACACACACACACATGCAGAGTCTCAAAACATAAAGGAAAAAATGCTATTGGTCCTGGCAAGATGATGTTTTGTGAGTTTTACCAATTGAGTTTCGTCTTTAGGGGTGTGTGTTCACATAGCCACCTGCTCACCCCCAGATGGAATTATGCAAATCGACAGTGGAATTAAAACATCATGAATAGACAATCATTGCCCACTGCGTCTTCTCAGAGGTTTTAACCAAATGTGATACTGAATGTGATGATTGAAGAGTACTTATCCTTTTGATTACTTAACTTCCTTATTTCAAAACAACTTAACAAGAAATAATCGTTTTCTTTCCAATGGAGAGGTAGAACAGGTACCTTTAAACACAACTGAGGAGAAATTTGGTTTTGGATGCCAACTGAATGCAACAAATATTTCTGTTTTAAAAAAGTTCGGGTGCTACCTTTGCCTGTGCTGCTCTCCAGCCTCTGATGATTAAATATTAGGAACCCTCTTAATGAGCCTCACCTCTGGAATTATGATGTTTGTCCTTAGGTCAATGGAAGGCCCTGTTATGTGTCAAGTACTGGACTAAGTGAGATGTTGAAGCCCTATAGGTGGACGTGATGGGGATGGTTCTTGTCTTGATGGAGTTTAGTCATACCAATCAGCCAGTATGGCAGAGTTTCTCTGAGACATAAAATGTAATGTGGCCACTTTAGTGTCATTGTGTCAAAGCCTGAATTACAGTCATTGCCTTTTGGGGAGGCTCCTCAAACTAACTACTCTGAATGAAAATCAAATACTTCCGAATTAGAGTTTTTGTTCATTTTTAAAGGAATTATAAAATAATCAAAATGATAATTGTTTGTTTTTTAAAAAAGCAAAAAGCAACAACAACCAAACAAAGGGCCAGGTTAATTTAGACACCGACAAATCAACCTTTGTATAATTTGTTAATTTTACTCTATTTTGTATACAAACACTTAGAATATTTTGTGTAAATTGAGCAAAGGGAGGGATTTAAATTTATTTAGCCAATAACTCAATCCAAAGTGGAAATTGTACTGCTCTTATCTTGAGTGATATATAAAGAGTTTGGTGAATTTCTCATGGTGCTGTTGGGTCAAGGCTGGGGTTCTCAGTAAGGTAAGGAGTCAAATAAAATTATGAAATAGTCTCCTGGGAATTACAGGAGTACCAGGGGTCCTTATAAGACAATTCTTGGAAAAAAGTTTGCTTTCAGAGTTAGACAAATGACAAGTAATGGCGGCAGGCTTGAAATAACCTGACTTCTTGGAAGCTGAGATTCTACTTTCTGATAGGAACTGACACAACACTTAATCTTCTGAGGCAGAAAAAATGGAGTTTCGAGCAATTTAGGAGGCTTTCGGAACACTCTTTTAAAACTAAGGCCCTCTTGCTCTGGCTTTAGTTGTCAAGCCATGGTTGGCTTGGGCCGTTTTTCGGTCTCCCCAGGCCAGAATTTAATCTTAGCTTCTTCCTACATGTATTGGGAGATTTCATAGCATTACATGCTGATCCACCGAACTTCTGGGTTACATAGCATGGGGATTTAGCCTTATCTCTTTAGGAGGAGAATGGGCAACTTCCACATATCTTGAAAATATGTTTGTCAGCTACCTACCCAAGAGGAAATCTGGCGTTTTGGTAGGGAAAGCGGTGATTGGTTGAAGGACCTTGACAATGAAGCTGCTTCATAAATGCCTTATCACTGTATAAGAACATAATTTCTATTGCCCTCTTTTGTCAGAGAATGTCAACTGTAAACCATTGTAGACCAGGAGAGTCATGAACTGCGCTTGCTAACCACTCAAGCCTCAGGCACTTTTTTTGTTTCAAGTACTGTATATTTCATGCTCCCCCTATTGACATTAAAAATGAGTCTACATTGCCCAAATTGAAGTGGAGATTTAGTAATTAGTCAGATACATTAATCAATGAAGATGGTAGGACCATTAACAATTAAAATGCAAAAAGAAGTGTTTTAATGTCTGTATTCATAAAATTAAAGGAAAAATTGCTAAATATTTTTCACATTGGGCTACAGTATGCATACCATATAAAATTCTTTTCAGAAAAATGTTGTTTTCATTTTTGGAAGAATATATGATATTATGATATAATCAGTAATCAGAAATGCCAAATTCATCTGTAGAGTTGTAAATGAAAGGAAAAGAGACTCCCTTTCTTAGACATAATTATGGAGTAGGCAGTTTACTTAATGTTGAAATCCTTTTAATGTCACCAGGGAAATGTTTGAATGACTGTTATGGAGTCTTTCAAACTGGACCATGTGACTTCTTCAAAGAGCTGTATGAATAGTGCATGCTTTAAATCACACACCCTTAAAATGCTGGGTTCATGTAGTTGGGACAAAGCATTGGTGTTTGTGATAGTTTGCATTGGTGTTTGTGATAGTTTAGGAATTTCTCAGGTTTGGCAATCTACAAAAGACTTACAGAGTCAAAATAGTACTGAACTGAATTAGAATTTCCCTAGGTATCTCCCCCCTCCACTGGTAACTGCCAGTTCTGTCATCTTCCTTTCTCAAGATTACATTGCACCTGTGATCACTTCTCACATCACCAAGCAGAAGAGAAAGCTGTCGGCCAGAAGAAGAGGCAGCCCCACATCCAGCCACAAATTGCCATGAAAACTTAACCCAGATTCCTTTCCATCCACAGACTTTTTTGAAAAACATTTTCTCCCAGGTCCTTGCTAGCTGACTTGGGTTGGCTTACAGGTGTCAGTGTGGGGGTATGTGAGGACAGACAGGGTTTAGGGCCAACTGTTTTAACCCTGTTGTCCTGTGGAGTGAGGGTGACAATGTTATTTATCAACTGAAAGCCTCAAATGAACAGATCCGAAACAAAATAATTAGAAGTGCTGTGTCTAGGCATAACAAATACTTGGAATCTGAATAGCTAAGGGGAAAGTCGTTTCTCTTGTGAGTTTTTTGGGACCATTTAGATACAACTCATCTTTCAGCTATAAGAAACTATTGTGAAAGCATGAAGTAGCAAGTCCAGTTCTTCCCTCTTCTTGTTGTCGGTGGCAGGAACAGGCTGCGGTGAAGGTCTGTGCTGTCTTAGTCCATTCTCACACTGCCATAAAGAGCTACCTGAGACTGGGTGATTTATAAAGAAAAGAGGTTTAGTTGACTCACAGTTACACAGGCTTAACAAGAAGCATGACTGGGAGGCCTCAGGAAACTTACAATCATGACAGAAGGCGAAAGGGAAGCAGGCACGTTTTACATGGCAGAGTAGGAGGGAGAGAGGGCAAGGGGGAAAGTGCCACGCTTTTGAACTATTAGACCTCATGAGAACTCACTATCATGAGAACGGCATGGGGGAAATCTGCCCCCATGATTCAATCACCTCCCTCCAGGGCCCCCCCTTCAACACATGAGGATTACAATTTCACATGAGATTTGGGTGGGGACACATAGCCAAACCATATCATATACTATCTTGTGTCTCATTTAGTTTTACAAGTTTCCCCTGTTTTGTCTTTTTATGTCCTTTTGTCTTGGGGAGTGGGGTGGGAGTATTACCCTTGTCATGCCTATTCTATTGCTGCATTGCAATGAGGCAGACTCTGACCTGATGTCTCCGGAACATAAAGGCTCAAGAACAGGTAGAAAAGGCTAGACTGCTTTGGGGAGGGTAGGGGCCTTTCATAGAACTCAAAATGGCACCACACCAGCAGCAGAAAGTACGTGTGGGACCTACCACTGGAAAGCTGTTCATTTGGAAATTCTAGGTCAGGGGATCTATTTCTTGGTGTTTATTTTTGAATCCTGCAAATTTATTTATTTACATTTATTTATTTATTTGAGACAGGGTCTCGCTCTGTCACACAACTGGGGTGCATTGGGGCAATCATAGCTCATTGCATCCTCAAACTCCTGGGCTCAAGCAATCCTCTTGCCTCAGCTTTCTGCATAGCTGGGACTACAGGTGCATGCCACCACACCTGGCTAATTTAACTTTTTTTTTTTGTAGAGATGGGGATATTGCTATGTTGCCCAGGCTGGTCTCAAACTGGGCTCAAGTGATCCTCACATCTTGGCCTCCCAAAGCATTGGGATTACAGGTATGAGCCATCACATCTGGCCAAATCCTCCAAATTTAAATTGAGGATACTGGTTGGGATGATTCTTTCCTATCAAGCAGAATCTCTATTATTTATGTGGAATTCTGGAAATGTTTCTAATGTAGGGAAAGAGGAAATGCAACATTTAAGGACATTTTAACATGATCATCTTTACAGTATTTTCATCTAAATGTTTCAGTCATGTTATCAAGGTCACAAAACATTCTATAGGATGTTTTTAAATAGAAATTTTAAAATTGCTATTATTTAGAATCCATGGATTCATTCATTTGAAGAGCAATGACATTGTTACAATAGTCTTCTGATTCTTGAACATGTTATAATCATTTATTTAAGCCTTCGTAAGTTTTTTTTACCCCACTGGAGGCTTTTTATATGAATCAAAAAATTAAATTTTACAAAAGTTTTTTTTCCAAGAATATTCTTGCATTAGATTTATTCCTAAGTATTTCATTTTTTTTTGTGCTAGTATAAATAGTATCTTAAAAAATTAGAATTTCCTAATTGGTATAAAGAAATATCCTTGCTGGGCTTTGGTATCAATGTTATACTAATCTCACAAAATGGGTTTGGAAATGTTTCCTCTTCTGCTTTCTTGCAGAGTTTAAGGAGATAGGTGTTATTTCTTTATTTCACGTGGTGCTATCTGGGCCTGGTGTTTTCTTTGCAGGAGGTTCTTAAGTTATGATTCTGTTTGTGCAATAGGACCATTTACATTTTCTGTTTTCTTTTTGTCTGTTTAGGTAAATTTTATTTCTCTAGGAATTGGTCTCTTTTATGTACATTTTCTTTTTATTATTATTATTATTATACTTTAAGTTTTAGGGTACATGGGCACAATGTGCAGGTTAGTTACATATGTATACATGTGCCATGCTGGTGTGCTGCACCCATTAACTCGTGATTTAGCATTAGGTATATCTCCTAATGCTATCCCTCCCCCCTCCCCTCACCCCACAACAGTCCCCAGAGTGTGATGTTCCCCTTCCTGTGTCCATGTGTTCTCATTGTTCAATTCCCATCTATGAGTGAGAACATGCGGTGTTTGGTTTTTTTTCCTTGCGATAGTTTACTGAGAATGATGATTTCCTATTTCATCCATGTCCCTACAAAGGACATGAACTCATCGTTTTTCATGGCTGCATAGTATTCCATGGTGTATATGTGCCACATTTTCTTAATCCAGTCTATCATTGTTGGACATTTGGGTTGGTTCCAAGTCTTTGCTATTGTATCTTGTATCTTGCAAGATACAAGATACAAGGTACAAAATGTTGTTTGTTTTTTTCTTGTAAATTTGATTGAGCAAGATATATATATATACACTAATACATTTATATTCTCACTTTAGTGGCTTGATCAATTTACATGTACTTAATTGGTACATATTATGTAAGCTGTATATGAATAAATATGCAAGTAGAAGTTTGCAAGCAATATCTTCTCTAAATTGTTCTCTCATATCCATACCCAATTAATGCACAATGATCATTCTGGATTAAAATGGAGCTTTTATTTCTAAAGTAAAAATGTCATTAACAACAGTCTACAGTTGGCCAAATTAGAATGTGTTACACTCTACACTTGTGTCTTTACTGAGCACATTGCCTGTGTTTGAAGATGATACCAATGGGTGAGTCTTTTATGCAGGTGAGACTGAAAAGCCTTGTACAGTTCCCAGCTGTTGTTTTTGCTCTTTGCCCATGTGAGGACTTTTCTTTTGTTTGTGGTTATAACCAAAGAGCATGGAGACTGTTGGTGGTGCTTTGCCTTATGGACTGCATGCTGCCTGAGCTCTAAATAGCCATCCCATCTCCAATCGCTGCTTGCGAGCTTGGCCAGTCACTTGCATCTATTATTTCTTAATATTCTACAGCTCAGCCCTATGGCTTGCAGTCAGGAGGCGGCGTCCTTAGGCCCCTCTTCTTAAAGATGTTTAGACTGAGTAACATTTAGTGACTGCCTACGCCATGCCAGCTAATTTTATAAAATATCATTTCATGACTTCCCATTTTGCAGATAAGAAAATTAAGGCTCAAAGGGTCTAAATAGCTAAGATAGAAAATTAAGGAGCCAGGATCCCCTCCAGACTCAGTGGCTCCCACATCCTGCGTTTTCCTTGCTGACCAACACTGACTCTCACTGTATTGGCGTTTCCACCTCCGTTTTATACGAAGGAAACAGTAAAGAAACACAGAATTCATTTTATACACCTAGCTTTTATTTGATGGCATCTATTCAGTGACCAAGTCCAAAATCCAACTTCATGACAGTCTTTCCTCTCCAGCTTCTTCCAGCCCTGGGCTGACAGCTTCATCTTAGGCTCTTGTGACTGCTAACCTGAACCATGGCAAAGGCCCCAACCCATCTTCCTCTGACACTTGTGGGACCCTCTCACACCAAATACTGTTTTTTTGTTTGTTTATTTTGTTTTGTTGAGATGGAGTCTCCCTCTATTGCCCAGGCTGGAGTGCAGTGGCACCATATTGGCTCACTGCAACCTCAGCTCAAGTGATTCTTGTGCCTCAGCCTCCTGAATAGCTGGGATTACAGGTGCTCACCACCATGCCTGGCTAGTTTTTGTACTTTTAGTAGAGACAGGGTTTTGCCATGTTGGCCAGACTGGTCTTAAACTCCTGACCTGAAGTGATCCGCCTGCCTCCGCCTCCCAAAGTGCTGGGATTACAGGCATGAGCCACTGGGCCTGGCCTCAAGTCAAGTCTTTTGATGGCTCTCCATTGACTGCTGGAAGAAGCCTAGATTTCTTAGGGAAGCACACCAAGCCCTTTACAATCTCTCTAGTCTTATCCCTGCTGTGGCCTCTTTCATACCTACATTACCACCCATCAGGGCTCACTGTGCAATTTCAAATCTCTGGGTCTTCCTCTACCCTTCCCCTCCAGGCAGTGACTCCTGTGTAACCCACAGTATCCATCTCAAGTGTCACCACTTTGTTTTAAAAACTTTTACTAAAATTCGGGGGTCCACAGGCAGGTTTGTTATTTAGGTCAACTTGAGTCATGGGAATTTGTTGTGCAGATTATTTGTTACCCAGGTATTAAGCCTAGTACTCAATAGTTATTCCTGATCCTCTCCCTCCTCCTACCCTCCACCCTCTGAGAGGCCCCAGTGTCCATATGTTCTCATCATTTATCTCCCATTTATAAGTGAGAACATGTGGTACTTGATCCAGCTCCATACATGTCCCTGCAAAGAACATGAGCTCGTTCTTTTTTAAGCTATCGTAGTATTTCATGGTGTATATGTACCACATTTTCTTTATCCAGTCCATTGATGGGCATTTAGATTGATTCTATGCCTTTGGTACTGTGAATAGTGCTGCAATGAACATACAGGTGCATGTGTCTTTATGATAGAATAATTTATATCTAGTCTTCTAATAGCCCTGTGAGAATTAATTGCCCCCTCCTTTATGACTCTACTCCATCGTGTTTAGAATTCTATCACAGTACCTGTGATATTTAGGTACACTTTCTTTATTTACTCTGTGTAAATATCAAAGAGTCTCTCTCCTGTTTCTTGGGCTTCAAGCTCCTTGAGCACATAAATGATGTACATGTCTTCATGTAGTCAGTGCCCAGTGGAATACCTGCACATTAGCTTTTTAATAAATGCTTGCTGGAATATTTAATTAACTTTCTCAAAAGACTTTACAAGACAGAAAACAATTCTTCATATCCCAGAGAAAATGCTTTTTGGTGAGATAAATAAAGCAAAGGCAAAGAAAAAAAACCAGCATTATTGCATATTTGGTATTTTAAAATTTAGTATTTTTAATTCATCTGAGGTGAAAGCAGAGAAGGTAAAAAGAAATGTGGGTTGGATGAAGCTTAACTGAGGGGTGATGGGAAGCTCAGGATGATTGAGTTTTCAAGGAACGGGGAAGAAAAATTTAAGGATGAGGAGAAGAATATATGATTTGGCAACCATGACTGATCTAACACAAGAGCCATATCATAAAAAACAGTTACTTTTTTATTAATATTTTTGATCATTTCTTCTGTACGGCAAGAAGATACAAAGCTGTCAGTGTTAGGCTTGGCAAGTCCCAGGGAGTGGACTGGGAAGACTGAGTGGGGAAGAAAGAAAGAGAGTAAAGGAAGGATATGGAATTAGTGAAATCATTTGAAAATTGATTTTAGAATGTCCTAGAACATCAGGATTATCCAGAAATTTTTTTTTCTCTTTCTAGGTAGTTTTAAACAAGCAAGAATAAAAGTAAACCTTTCAACAACACTTTCAATCCTCTTTTTTTCTAATATAATCAATATATTAGTTAATTTACTATTTACTTTGTAGGAAATCCAGTAACATTTCTACTGCTTTCTAGACTTTCATCTGTTGCATTTGGCTTTCATGAAATATTCTGCAAATTCACTACAATTAACTTAATTAATTGTATTTTATGACTTTGGGTCAGAATGCCAGAATTGCTGTGCCAATTTCATTGTACTCATGGAAACCTCAAGAGTATATTTCAGATATTGGCTTTCAGACCTTTCTTTCTGAATATGTTGCTATTTACTTACTATCTGCCAAAGCCACCATGTCAATGTAATTGAAAACAAGCAAGAAGGAGACTGGATGGCTCAGATGAATGGAAATGTGATACAGACCCTTCCAGCCACAACCAACTGGCTGGGATCCAGCCGAGGCTGATGAGGACTAAAAGTAATTACCATCTGATGGCTGGACAATGGTCTGTGTGAAATGAGCTGGTTATCTCAAGTCTAGTTCCTCATGGACAGGTGTTCATATTGCAGTTTCCACCTTCAGTGACAGGAGCCCAGGAACTGAATGAGTCAGAGAGGCCCAAACTACCTTTTCTCTTATTTGAGATTGATGCCTATTTGCGATACAAGGAAACTTAGGCTCCTGCCTTACACTTAAAAATAGATAAGCAGAGAATGCAAATGTGAATGTCAAACCAAGCTCATTATTTTTATTCTATGGGTGTAGAAATTATGCATTAAACAAAAACAAATGGTAGGCTTTTTTTTTTTTTTGCTTGCTATTTAATTAAAATGTTCTTTATATTACCAAAGGAAAAAGGCAATATTGGGAAAATGAGAATAAATGACTGTTTTTAAGCACTTTAATAATTTCCCCTAAATCTTTAAAATTCAAATCTTGCCTTAAAAACCGCTGAAGAATAATAATGGGATCTGACTCCCCACATCTGTTATAAAAATCATAGGAAACAACCAAATTCAGTATCAATATTATTATCCATTCTGCCAAAGCTGAAGATTATTTCCCTCATTCATTTAGCAAAAGATTTTCCAAACTTTATAAATATTGTTATGTCTCTCGAATGCATTACCTCACAGGTCTCTTCTGAAAGGTATCCAAATTCTGCATTAAGGCACTTGTGGGAAAAGTAGAAAAAATAAATGGTTTACTTTAAATGGGATTTGGAAAGGGTATGATTACGGTCTGAAATGTATCACACTGACATAGTAAAACTGAACTTCCTAATGGATTCTTAAATTTTGAGTAAGCATTAAATCCATTTATTGAACTCCTTTCTGTATGCCTAAAAGTTACAGTAAATACTTATATTTTTCTCCCTGATGGACTTTCCGCAGTGAAGGACGTCATACATTAGTCGTACAGGCTGTGCTTGAAGAATGTTGAGAGCCCATAGCTGGATACTAAACCCGAGTGTTAGGAGAGAGTCAAAATATTTTTCTGATTGAACAAACAAGTTTGTGAATAGAGAGAGATTTGCCTAGCACCATAAAGAAGAATTGTTAAAACACACAGAGCAAAATGTCCTTCAATAGCCTTACAAATGGATGCTGCCTCTTCACGCAGTGTTTTTATGTGATCAGGTAACCAGAGCTGAACAGTGTCCAGAAGCACATTAGATCTTGCTCTTGCACTTTGGTGGTGCCAGGCAGACAGATATACAGAACACACAATGGCAAAATTCAAACATGAATAGAGAGCTGGATTTTCATTGTTTGTTCACAATACCTCTTGGGTGAAAGGAAGGAAGTAGGCTCTATTGCCTAATGCCCCAGAGAAAGAAAAACAGACAGATTCCCATTTGGTAGTGCAGTAGCTTGTGTGGCCAGCAGTTCCTGGTGATAAGTTTGTCAAGGGCTATTTTGCAGATCCTATTCAAAGTCTCAAGCCATAAACCATCCATGTAGTCAGTGAATCTGTCTAGCTGTGAGGTATCCAAGGGTATGATTTACAATCTCTGCCAAGGAGACGTCTACATGGGAAAATTTGTTAATTGGCAGCATATGAAAAAGTCCAAGGATGGAAGAATAGTGACAAGCCATTGTTTCTCTGCTTGATGAGTTAAATAGGAAAATACAGTTTTGAGCTTATAAAAGTTACGTTTGTGCTCTTGGCACAAATTCTGATAGGGATAAATTTACGTTTTGGCATTTGGTCAGTAAAAGCAATAAAACCAGAGCTTTAAGATAAAGAAGAGTAGAAGTCATGTAACCTAAAAGCATGCAGACATGCAGATACAGGCTAACTGATGCTTAGAATGTTAACTGCTGCCTCAGAAGTCTTCATCCTGGACGGGATGACAGACCGAGCAAAGACCATGTATAAAGATCTTTCAGCAATTGTGGCAACTTTGTTATTTTCCAGTGTTATAGCCAGTTGTATTTATATCTAAGTAGAAAAGTTAATTAGTGCTCAAAGGATAACCCCAATCCTAAATTCTATAGTTTGGATTTTCCCCTTCTTCTCCCTCCACAATGGTTTTGTGTGACAGAGAGGCTAGGCTACTTTCATCATCTTTTCAGATGTTTTATTGCTTTAGAGGGTGAGCTAATATGCAGTGTAAACAGGGGTACTGACGTTTCTTTGACCCATAATTGAAATTAATCATCTAAAAATGAATTGCATGCTAATACTGTCTTTATATTCAATTAAGCACATAGTTTTTGGGTAAATGATATCTGTTGAATAATGTGCTGGGTGATAATACACACATATTAAGATATGTAATATATACAAACATAAACCACATCCAGAACTTTCTAGAATCCCTTTTCAATTTTTAAATATTAACCTCTTAATAAGAGAGAGGAAAAAAAATAAGGGAAACTATTACTATTAGTAAACTATTTGGATTTCTACCATGCAGCAGCACTTTCTAGGAATGACCTCTGAACTATTTTCTTGCAACCAATAGAGGTTTTATTTTGTTAACTATATGTATTTCCTTCACCATAAAATCAGAAATAAGAGCAATAGCTTGCATACTATTTGTAAGGAGTTGTTTTAAAAATCATTAGTTTACAGACTTTGTATCCTAATTATATCTTAAGCAACTAAATTTTTTACATGTTCAAGGGCTCTATGGAGATCATTTATGTCAATGTTTTGAACTATGTATACACCTAAAATACTAATGTAAAGAGAACAGCTGACACACAAGCAATCAGAATGTGTGTTGTCTGTGTACGTGTGTGTACACATAGGATATTGATTTATTGGGTGCTAAAAGAAACACCATTAATTTGATGGTAGACCCCAGAAAAATCAATTGACTCTACTGTTTCACCTACTAAAAGAAATCTGTTTGATTTTCTCACTTTCGTCCATCGTTTCTATCCTCCTTAAAATTCTGCCTTTAAAAAAAAAAAAGAAGAAGAAAAATAGCCTTAAAGTGATACTTTGAACAGGAAAAATGAGTGATTCAGTGCCCTGATCATTCTCAGGCAGAAGTCAAATTGAGCTCTTCTGAGGAAAGACATTTCCTTCTAAGGAAAGACATTGTGTTATTTTCAAAATGAGTAGGAGTCTTCAATTCTTCTTTTAAATTAGCTGTCTTTTTTTATTTTAGATATGCCCTCAAAAATACCTTACTTTCCACACACACACACACACACACACACACATACACACACACATACACCATATTTCCAGCTTGAATTTGATTTCTTCAATTTGTGAACATTTATAAAAATTGTAAGATATTCTAGAATGAAAAAAACTGAGAAATCACTGTTTCTCCATCTTGCACAAGTCCTAGAATGTAAACACTAACTTCAGTCCCTCCCTGTGAACCTTCGGTGTTCCACCCTCGGAAGCAGGCCTAAAACTTTCGTGTAGTTGAGGAGGATGCATCACCCTGATCGTATCTTAGGGCTTTTGGAAGAACCACCAAATTGATTCAAAATAGATAAAATGAGTCAAAGAGATTCACACACTATCTGAGAAAATCATTGAAGTATGCTGACATTTCAAACAGCTTCAAACTCAGAATGGAAAAACCTCTAATAGTATATGTCTTACTAAAGTGACATCCATGACCATATAAATGTCCCTAGGCATAGCTCTTGCATGAAATTATAACACTTTTTTGATGTAATCAAGAAGGGAAGTATAGAGTGTCTAGTGTAAAACACTGACCTTTTCATAACCTCACAAAAATAGGGGTCTATTTCTAGTTGGAAACAGAAGTTATGGTGGTATAGTTTCCATATGCTTTTTTAAAAAATCCTATTTTTTAAGGTTTTACCTGTGAACAAGATTCCCTCTCCCTGACCCACTTGGCGACCTTCATTCACTTTCCCCTTGACCCCCACTGCTCCTAGAGTAGGAGGAGCAGGTTTGCTTAACACACAGGATCAGGCGTGAAGACTCTGAGGGGTTCTTGGTGGATGACATGGGGTGCGTTTTGCAGGGGAGAGAGCAGTGTGGCTCCTAAGACCAGTCAGGAAAGGGATGAGGTACGGGCATCAAGTGTTCCTGAAGGGCAATTCATTTCAGGTCTATAGAACAGCGTGTGCCCGTGATGGTCGTAACTGTGGAGAAGCTGGGAGTATGGCTTCAAGCAGTTTCTGAATCATTCTTGGGTGTAGACTGCTACAAAATGCACTGCCAAGGGGAGAAACTGGTGCTTCCAGGAGCCAGCAGGCTACCCTCCCTCCTAGGTACCACAAAGAATGCATAGCCCACTTTCTTAGAAGTCTGATTTAATTGCTATTGTGATCCTGTCTTAAATCTGCCTTGCGATTTGTTCACATGTGCCCACCCTCGCCCTCCTCTCTTGTCCCCTCCGTGTTTCACGTTCCCCTCCCCACCCCGCTTTAGAGGAAACCCACGGAGGATAAGAATCTAGCCTGGCGTTCATAAGCTCTTTTTCTATTGGTGCCAATCTTGAAAAACGAGAACCAGAAACGGCTAGATGAGAACCCGGTGCTCTAGTGAGGAGAGAAGTGGGAGCCGGGAGGGGAGGGAAGCCAGATGAAAGTCACACTGCTCAGATGTCTCCCATTTTTCCATATTCAGGAGGGAGCTTTACGGGCAGAGCAGAAAAGGGGCGATACTGTGATTAGGAAAAAACCAACAGACAATACCTCCTCGTTGAAAGCAGCTTCGTTGTTAGGTGTCATTTAAAAAGCAATCAAACAAATGAATTTACAATGGAATTTCCCCACCTGTTAAGTTGTGTGGATAGATACAGGGGATGGAAACAGGCCAGGAGGCTGGAGTGAGGAGCACCGCACAGCAATTAGAGGCCGTGATAGTGTTAAATGAAAATATAACAGAGGCCAGCAAAAATAATAGAAAATGCAATCACTCACTTCATCAAAAGTTGCATAATAAATAAACGAAATGAGATGTGATTAAGGGCAATACCACCAGAGGCTGTCTCTCAGATGCTGTATCTTGTAAAAGACGTAGTCATCTTGTAAAAGTTATAATGTTTATCTTATCATGATTTATTATAAAGCAATATATAGCTCTACTTGTTCCATCTCATGTCTGGCCACTGCAAACTTGTTTACAAACCAAGAGGCCTGGGTCCATGCCTACTAACTAGCAGTCTTTGCAAAGGCAGTCTTTGGGGTTTGCTGTATTCTTTTCTTTCTTTCTCCTTTTTTCTTTTTTATTTTTTTTGGAGATGGGGTCTCACCCTGTCACCCAGGCTGGAGTGCAGTGGTGTGGTTATAGCTCACTACAGTCTCGACCTCCTGGGCTCAAACCATCCTTCCATCTCAGCCTTACAAGTAAGTGGCTGGGACCACAGGCATGGGCCACCATGCTCGGCTAATTTTGTTATTTTTTGGTATAGATGGGGCCTTCCCATATTGTCCAGGCTGTTCTTGGGATCCTGGGCTCAAGTGATTCTCCCACTTTGGCCTCCCAAAGTGCTGGTATTACAGGTGTGAGCCACTGAGCCTGGCAGTGTTTGCCATATTCTTATTGGTTCTATTTCAATTTATAGGAAAGGCAGTAAAGGCAGGTGCTCACACAACTGAGAGAATGTATTCAAAACCCAGTTAGGCACCGCTGTAGGAGCTGTTGGCTACTCTGGTCTAATGTTCTCATTATGAATCTGTGTCATTTTCCAGAAGGGTGTTAGACTAAGAAAGATGGAACCAACAACGCTCAACTTAAACCTTCTGGAAAACTCAAAAGTTTACGAATAATGACAACTTCCGGAAAAAAAAAAACCAGAACAAGAAGACTAGTTAAAAAATTTGTTTTTTGACGTGGACCTTTTGTGATAAATCCATTTCATAGCATTTAAGATTTTAATTTTTAAGATGCTTTTCTTTTACTTTGATCAAATTGTGCAAAGCAGCATTATTATATTTCTGACTGTGACTAGTACTTGGGATGATTCTGCCTGTTCACCTGAAAGGTGACTCAACGTCTTTTTCTTCTTATTTGTGCATTCGGCTTCTCTGTTTGCTGCTGTTGAATCCTAGCAGTCCTCACATTAAAAAAAAAATCACTTCTTATCTTTCAGCGATAAAGAGATACATATTGCAATTGATTTCATGGGCCTATGCAGGTACTAAATGGCTTCTAAGCAAAATGAGAACTTGCCTATAAATTTTTGAAGGCTACCTGAAGCACGATTCCAAACAACAGGCAGGAGAATAATGTGCTATCATCACGGGACAATTCTGCATTGTGTTTGTGTTGAGATGGCCGATTGGGCTCTTATGCTTGACTCCCCATTTTGGAAGACATTTATCTGCCAGAAGATTAGGATAATGTCTACAGAAGACATAGGCTTCTTATGGCTAAGCATATTCACAAGCAACACATAAAATTGAACAATGCGTTCTTTTACTGAACAGGTATCTTTCTACATTGTATTAAGCAATCATTTGTTCTGTTATTGTTTCATCGGAGCAATTACTTCCTACAGCAACTATAATGTACTATAAGGCGTCTCGAACAGGACTGTGCATCAGCTTTATTTAAGGAATGCAAGAGTAAGCACAATGTGGGAATAACATGGAAAAAGACTGAGATTGAAATGCAAAATACAAAAGGATAGGAAGCCATACATCATCACACAAAGTCACATTATGATGTGGTGGCCTTAGCAGGGACTCCTACAGTGCTATAAGCTGCACCCAAAAATACTGCAAGAGCTTGAACTTAGAAGCTGACTGTAAAGTTGCCTTGAATGGCCCCAGCCACTTTGGCCTTTGTTTATATAAGTCTTTGTTTTCCTCTGACAGTACCAGGAACCTAACATTTTCCTACTCGCGTATATTTCTGTATTCATTGTATTTGCAATGCCACATTACGTTGACTGGTTGACAGGTTGGCTGTGTGAATGAAAGATTCTTTATTGACGATCTTCCTTGTCCTTTTTCTCTGCCTATTAAGTTGAATTAAATTCTATTTTTTCTGGCCAACCCTGTCCAAGGCTACTCCTTTAGGAAGTAGCAGAGAATTGAACTCGGTCTAGGCAACCAGACTGAATTTGTGGTTAATCAGGAATATTCCTTTAGAACCAGAGTTGCAATGGTTTGGCTTGAGACAGAGTTCATTGCTACCAACCCCAGCTCTTTTGCAAGCTTGCTGTGTGACTTTTGGGTAAGTCATAACCTTTCTGTTTTTAGTTTCCTGGAAAGTGGAGATAAAGCTGCAGAGCTTTTCATCCATCTACCTCAGAGGAGTTTTGTGAAGGTTAGTTAATTAATTGTCAAGATGTCTGTGCATGGGATGTGTCAAGGAAATGTCAAAAAAATGGGACAAACCAGGCAAGGGAGGAAGCGGGAGTGATTATGAAATAATTGCTACTTTTTCAACATCTTCAAATTTCTAGGGCAGTTGTCAGGTAAAGTTCCCAAATTTGATCACTCTAAAAATTTAGACCTCAGGTTGGCTATTTCTGGCTTTGCTTCTTTCTGTAGGATTCTTTGAAGAGTCTCCTGGTTCAGTAATTGTCTTTGAACTAGGAAAGTACAGAAAACTTTGGAAGGACTTTTTTGGGCAAATAGGAGCTTCATTTTTTACCATATCTTTAAGGATATATTCAATCAATATTCATGCAAAGGGAAAGATGAAATTGTTTTCTTTGGGACTCTGATTGCCTCTGGCCAGGCTAGCAAAGATTGGCAGGCTTGCAGAATTTGGGACAATAAAACCTACCACTTCTTGAGCAATTCATATACTCCCTCTGGGAACTTCACTTACAAAGATGGTGAATGGTGGTTTCTGGTCTCTGACTCCCCTCTCGCTGTATTTCCTTGCTGATCAATTTATATCGCTCCAAGAGGGAAGTCATAGCTAGTAACGAGTATGATCATGGACCCAAGAGGCATAAACTGGTTCTTAGGGATTCAAACCTGTGAACAGTTCTGACCATATTAGTCTTAGGTTGTGAGCAACTGCAACTGACAATGGACCTGTGAAACATAATTAAGCATTGAAGGTTGATATAAATGACTAAAATGTCAGCCAACCTGATGATTGAAACTCGTTATTAGAAGAGAGCAGGGAGTTCCCTGTATGTTTTAGTTTTGAGCACCTAAATATTCATCGAACTGGAGACATACTGGAAGGAGAGAGGAGAGTAGGATAATAGAACTGCCAGAGCAACTGCTTTCTGATTTTTAGACAGGTTTGGTGGAATTAGGAAAAAAACAGAAGGAAAAAACTGGGTGTGTGTGTGTGTGTGTGTGTGTGTGTGTGTGTGTGTGTGTGTTGGTGGGGGCATGTCCTCTTTGCTTATTTATTTTGCTCACATTTGGACAAATTGGAGGAAAGCATGGACCAGAAATCTGTCTTCTTTCTAATGTGTAAAAAAATCAAGGACCTCGCGTGGTTCACGGTCGCTGCATTGCTCAATGCCCTGAGAACTGGGTTGGAGGGATCATTTCATTTGATGGCCTGAGAGATGGAGATTTTAGGTGGCTTCATACCCACAGTGGGCTAATGGCTTAGTTGTAAATAGAAACTGACTTCTCTTGATACCCAGATTTCCATTTACTAAAAGTGAAAATAGGCCGGGCGCGGTGGCTCACGCCTGTAATCCCAGCACTTTGGGAGGCTGAAGCGGGCAGATCACGAGGTCAGGAGATTGAGATCATCCTGGCCAACATGGTGAAACCCCAGCTCTACTAAAAATACAAAAATTAGCTGTGTGTGTTGGCGCACGCCTGTAATCCCAGTGACTCAGGAGGCTGAGGCAGGAGAATCGCTTGAACCCGGGAGGTGGAGGTTGCAGTAAGCCGAGATCACTCCACTGCACTCCAGCCTGGCAACAGAGCAATATTCCCTCTCAAAACAAACAAAAACAAACAACAACAACAAAAAAAGTGAAAATAATTTTCTTTACCAAATAGTTGGGGAGAGTAAAGGCAGTTTGTACAAAACGCGGCCTGGCAGATAAACACTGTACATCATCATGTAAGAGCGGCCGAGGGACTAGTATTGAATAGTTATGAAACATAAAAGTTAGTGTATTTTTGGATACATGGGGAGCAAAAATAACCAAGAGCAATGTTTTCTTCCTTCAACAAATATCGAGGACCTCTTCGAGACATTTAGAAAGCCTTGCTTCCAGAGTTGGCAGTGTGGGCGGAAGACATCTAGAACTCAACGCTAAAACAAAAATAACAACAACACACACAAACACACCATGCTGAGACGCACTTCTTCATGTCACACACATGTTGTGGAAAATGACTGCGGGGGCAGTGAGCTGCGAATGTTCATGTGGGAGTTAGAGCCGCCTGGATCGTGAGGTCCCAGGCAAGAAGGTGGAGGTAACTCAGCGAGAAAGCCACACAGCCTCATCTATTTATAGGTCCCGGTGGTGAAAAAGTAAAACCAGAGTGCAGCTTCTTCTACCTGCTGCTCCCAACTGAAGCTCACAAAAAACGGATAAGACCTCCTTTTGGTTGCCTTTGTAGTTTTAACCGACACACATAAAAAAGTGATGACTTAGCGGTAACCCCCCTTCCCGACCCCCTCGAACAGGTGAGGAAGTCAGACGGGCAGCCCCCCTCCAACGTTCAATCTTCTCCTCCTTGGTCCAGAAATGCATCTGTGCAATCCTTGGTCATGTGAAATGCATTGGATTTTTTTTTTTTTTCTTAAAGAAAGTTCATCGTACTCCTTTTCTTGGGGAAAGTTTATTATTTACAATCAAGAACTTTCGAATTAATCCCAAATTTATACCAAAGTATTGTGAAAAGCATTTATATTTCAGATCTTTTTATCTCTTTTTTCCTCCTCTGGATTGTATGCAAGGTACACACACACACACAGACACACACACACAGACACACACACACACACACACACACGGTTGCAAAATCTTCACCCAAAGACCACAAACAAAACAAAACTAGTACCAGAATCGTGTCTTATACACAAGATCTAATTGTTCAGCAGAGGATGCAGCCAGCCCCTTTCTGAGCTCCACGTGCTTCCTAGCCTCCCTGGATCCCGGGATCTGGACTTGTAAATGTTGCTTGAGAATTCTCTTATGAGAATCACAGGCACTAAGCTGTGTGTTCTTCAGGATGTCTGCAGTGACAGCTTATCATGAACTGTCAGGAACTGTTGAGAAGGGCTTACGATGATCTTTGTAAAAAGAAACATCTCGTAAGAGTCAGGACTCTGGGCGGCAGCGGCAGAGGGAGGTGCTGGGGGCGGTGGCATAGCGCCCACACCGCGTGGTCCCCGCGCGCGGCTGGGCTGGCAGCGCCCCAGGCAGCGCGCACGGTAAGCAGGAAGCTGCGGCCGAGCTGAGTCGCTCAAAAGCTACTGGAGCTAATAGATTGTGGTCATGAGGAGAGCGGCAGCATCTCGGTAGTGATGGGAACACTCAAAAGCATCATCAAAACAGTTGCAGAAACATGCTGAGCTCTGCACTCCCGAGCCCGTGCCTGCTGCAGCCGGCTTGGAGTTTGCTGGTAGCCACTGCAGCCCCGGCCCCGCGCGTCCAGCCTGGGGGTGCGATGAGCAAGAGAAATGAGGTGCAAAATGTTGCATCCGCGGAGCTGCTTGCAAAAGGGCAAACCTGTTTCTGAAGCCCCTCGCCCGTTCCCTGGTGGTTGGGCAATGCTTGTTTCTCTTCCTGCTGTACCCACCCCCATCTCCATTATAATTTTTTTCCTTCCTTCCTTTCTTTTTCTTTCGTTCTTTTCTTTTTTTTCTTTTTTCTTTTCTTTTCCTTTCTCTCTCTTTCTTTCTTTCTTCCTCTCCTCTCCTCTCTTCCCCTCTCTTCCCCTCCCCTCCCCCTCTTCTCTTCTCTTCTCTTCTCTTCTCTTCTCTTCTCTTCTCTTCTCTTCTCTTCTCTTCTCTTCTCTTTTCTGATGTAAAGGCATCGGGTTGTAACTTCAGGTTTCTGAAACATTGAAGTATAACGTCCACTGGGGACATGGCCTCTTCCCGGTGATGGTGTGGCAGGTGCCAGTGAGAATTAAGATGGCACAGGGAAAGGGGCAGGAGTTGATTTACCCCTCCAGGAATCTGCATTTCTGATTTTTCTCCAGAGTCCAGCTGAGAATTAGGGAGACCAGAACCCCTGTTACCTATTGGTTGTGAGGTATGCCTCAGTGCCCTTGGGGGTTGGCTAAGCCCTTCTTAGTATCACACTGCTTTTACATCTTTTATTATTTTTATTACTTACTATTTTATCTTTTAATTGTGAAAATAACACGTTTTACCATTTAACCCATTTTAAGTGTATGGCTCAGTGGCATTAAGTATATTCACATTGTGCAGGGATCTCTTTTTAAATATTAGGTTAATGCAAAATAATTGTGGTTTTTGCCATTAAAAGTTAATAAAAAGTGTTTAGTTTTTTTGACAGCCCATAATTCCACTAGAAAATAACCATTATGTAGAATATACATCATTCTGGTGTATACTTTTCTAAGCTTTGTTCTGTGCTTCTTACTACCACCCCTTCCCCAAATTGGGATCATTTAGCTTTGCAAACTGTTTTCCCCTCCCTTAGATTTTGAACTTGCTCCCTAATGGGGTCTCAATGAAGCCACTTCATGTACCTTGTGAACAGAATGGCCGGGGAGTATGCCTTTCCATCAATATCTTGTCACTTTCAGACCCTGGCCATTTGTTGAGTCAACAACTTCAGTGTGCCCTGCTCTTGTGTATCAGGGAAGGAAATAATAATAATAATAATAATAATAATTATTATTATTATTATTCCAATCCTTGACTATACTATGAAGCACATTAGAGCTCAGAAAAGCAGCAGCACTTCTCTCCTCCGTTCCCGTTCTCACCTTGATCACAGCCCTGAAGATTTGCCAGCAGAAGTAAAGAAGTAATTGTTCCTGCAGATTACAGCTCTGCTATTCAATAAGGGAGAGTCTATTCCTCATCCCCTGGGGACAGAGGAATATGGAAAGTAAAGTAGGGAGATTTTAAACCTTTTTTTGAAAAGAGAAAAAAGACACCCAGCAAAGTTTGAAGGTGTGTGAATGTGAATTCTTTCATAAAATTTTTTATTTTTTTAAAGAGAGTCTCGCTCTGTCACCCAGACTGGAGTGTAGTGGCATGATCTCACCTCACTGCAACCTCCACCTCCCGGGCTCAGGTGATTTTCCCACCTCAGCTTCTGGAGTAGCTGGAACTACAGGCACATGCCATGACGCCCGGCTAATTTTTGTATTTTTAGTAGAGGTGGGGTTTCGCCATGTTGGCCAGGCTGGTCTTGAACTCCCAACCTCAAGTGATCCACCCACCTTGGCCTCCCAAAGTGCTGGGATTACAGATGTAAGCCATTGCACCCGGCCTGAGATTTTAAAATATAGTTAAAATTACTCGAGTCTTTCAAACTCAAGAGGGCCTTAGGGACTCTTGAGTCCAAACTGCTTCAATTTATAAAAAATGGTTGCTGAGGCCCTGAGACACCACACAAAGTCGAGAAGGACAGAGTCGAGTTCACTCCTCCTGTAAGGGAATCTTCTTGCTTTCCAAATTCTTTCTGTTAATGACTGTTCGTTGAGCGCTTACTACATGGTGTCAGTCATTCTATGGTTCTATGTCCTGTGTCCTCAGTGGTGGAAAATCCAGGCAAAATCCCTATCCTAACATAGCTTATCATGTGCCAGACTCTGTTCTAAGTAGCTGATGTGTGTTAACACATTTTCGCCTATCAACCACCCTATCCACATTTTACAAATGGGGAGATTGGGCCCAGGAAGGAAGTGGCAAAGCTTGGATTCGAATGTGAGAATCTGGCTCAGGGGCTCACACCCTTAATGATGAATATTGCCTACGTGCATGTGCATATAGATATGTATTTATTTATTCTTACAGTGATCTTCTAATACAGTCCTCTTGAAACGGAACCCCCAGACCCTTCATATTATATTACACTACCTTGGAAAAGACAATCAGCCTCGATAGGGGTAGATGTCTTCTGGTGGTCACCTCATATTAGAAATCTACTTCCTGCAGTCCACATCTTTCACTAAACAGGTGCATTCTAGCTTTCAGTTCTATCATCAGAGTTCTAGAAAGCACTTTCATCTATTTTCCTTGAGCCTCAGCACAATCCTTTGAAGCAAATAACATGACCTGTGCTTCACAGATGAACATCTAGGGGCTCAGAAATGTTAGGTGGCTTCCCCACGTCACTCAGCATAGCTGGAATTCATACCTGGTACTCTGTCCCCAAGGCTGGAGGCTCGCCTTCTGTTAGGATCAGAGGATAAGTTGATTCAAAGAGAAACAAGTTGTCCCTTTCTGGATGAAAGCAAGGTATTACTGACCTGGATGGAGGCTGTCAAAGGTTTAACTGGGCAAGGACAGTGGATCACTATCTCATGTGCCAGTTAAGAGCAGATTTCCCAAAGCTTTTTCTTATTCCCATTAATTTTTTAATGTATCCAATTGGAGAAACAGGAAGATTCCCTGACTAGTAATAGTAACTGGACCATATGAGGCATGAATGAAATAAAGCATTCTTCTCAGGGAATGTCTGATTCTCCTACTTCATTCTTTGTTCCTACACAGAAGTAGAGCTTTAGAGAAATGATTGAGTGTGTCTGGTTGTGCTATCCTACATTAAGCAAATTTGCAGGAAAAATGTGGTAGGTGGCTGAGGCAGGAGGATTACTTGAGGCCAGGAGTTTGAGACCAGCCCCTGAGCAATGCAGCAAGACCCCGTCTCTACAAAAAAAAAAAAAAAAAAGTATAAAATATTAGCTGGGTGTGGTGTTGCATGCCTGTGGTCCCAGCTACATGAGAAGCTGAGGTGGGATGATCCCTTGAGCCCAGGAGTTGGAGACTGCAGTGAGCTGTGATTGTGCCACTGCACTCCAGCCTGGGTGACAGACTGCCTACCTCTCCAAAAACCAATGTGGTAGGAAAGTGATGAGATTTGGCTCCAAGCTAACACTCAATTAGGATAAGGTATAGGCAGCCATCGACTTCCTGGAAACATATTCGTTGGCTTCCGTAAAAACCAGGTGTGAACAACTTTTACCCTCTCCTTCCCTCTCTCCCCCTCTCTCTTCTTTTCTTCTTTCATATATGTATATATATGCATATATGAGATATGATACAAATTGTAAATATATATGAAATACATATACATTTACAATGATATATGTGTGTATATGTGTGTATATATACATATGTAGAATATATATACGTGTGTATATATATATGTATATAGATCCTTGTAACTATTTTATTAAGAAAATATAATTGAGAAATTTGAATAGCTTTTTGGTCACTGAACTATTTCTGTTTCTTGCATGTACGAAAAATGACAAAATGGAGTCACAAATCTTTTATGCTAAAATTATATCACAGCCTGTTTGGGGAGGCCGAGAGGGCCTTTTTTAAAATTTTTATTTTTTAATCATTGGTGAAACTGCTCCGGAAATGATGTGTAGCTGACGTATAACCTCATTCCAGCAATGGGGAGGGGAGGCACAAGGGAAAACCAAACCTTCGGTCTCCAGGCTGATGTGGTCTGTATTCTGTTATTTCTGTAAGGTGCTTCCCGGTGTTGACTTTTACTTACAGTGCACGTGTAGCAATAGTTCCACCTGTGATCTCACGGCAGAAAAGCATACCTCTCTGAGAACCATCGAGAACACTTCACAGCAACAAGAGCTATGACCTTTGACATTAAATAAACAGGACTAAACAAACCTCTCCTTGAGCGGGTATGACCTCAGATTTCTTTCTGTACCCTTCTAACGAATCTGAGCGGAGTTCTCGAAGCATGAATGCCCCGCAGATACCTTCAAACAGTCTTTGTTGTTTTGTTTATTGCACTCGTTACAGCATAAGTAATTATTTTTTACTTTGAAAAAATGTTGGTAAAAAAACACCTAACATGAGATCGACCCCCTAATAGATTTTTAAATGTACACTACAGTATTGTTCACAATAAGCACTGCATTGTACAGCAGATCTCTAGAACTTTCTCATCTTGCGTAACTGAAACTTTACACCCATTAAATAACAACTCCCCTTTCCCCCGCCCCCGAACCCTGACAGCCACCACTCCATTCTCTGCTTCTGTGAGTTTGACCGCTTTAGATACCTCACGGAAAGCAATACGGAGGCTCCTCAAAAAATTAAAAATAGAACCCCGAGATCATCCAGCAGTCCCACTTCTGCATATTTATCCAGCACAAGTAATTTAACGTCTGTGTTAACAGTCCCCTGAAAAAGCCTGTTCACTTTCAGCAGATTTGGAATGACCTTTGGGCGGGGCCATGAGTCCATTTGCAGGGAGGTAAACAATCTCACTGCTTGAACTCTAAGAAGTGAAACCTCGTTTAAATTATTTTATGAGCATTTTCCCTTAATGGAAAGGGAAAGTGCTATTTCAACATGAACACGTTAAAACTCAACAAATTAAAGAGGGGAAAATAATGAAACAATGTTGGGGGCATGAGTTCTCACTTGGGAAAAATAAACTAGAAATCACATTTTATAGACCTGTAATATTTTCAGTACCATTCAACAATGATTTCAATAGGCCCTCTACGGGTTTATAAGAAATACCAGCTGAGTGCCTGGCGCGGTGGCTCACGCCTGTAATCCCAGCACTTTGGGAGGCCGAGGTCAGCGGATCACGAGGTCAGGAGATCGAGACCATCCTGGCTAACACAGTGAAACCCCGTCTCTACTAAAAATACAAAAAATTAGCCAGGCGTGGTGGCGGGCGCTTGTAGTCCCAGCTACTCTGGAGGCTGAGGCAGGAGAATGGCGTGAACCCGGGAGGCGGAGCTTTCGGTGAGCGGAGATCGCGCCACTGCACTCCAGCCTGGGCGACAGAGCGAGACTCCGTCTCAAAAAAAAAAAAAAGAAAAGAAATACCAGCTGAGATAATATTAATATGTTAAGAATAATACAATACATCTATTTTTAGGAGTAAATGGTCCACAGCTTGATCACTGCAAGGTATGAGAGGTGCATTCCCGTCTCAGCTTTAAAAATTTATCTAAGAACAGCAACAACAATAACAAATACTCCTTCTTCTTCTTCCTTTGAAGAGAAAAAGGTCTGACTTCCATTTGTGAAAGTAGAAGAGAAAGGCATTCTGTTTTCCCTTCTTTGACTGTTTTCCTCAGATGAAAACGTAATACACACCTTAACCTAAACACCTGTGTGGCCACCATCACATTTATGTTCATTGCTTTTACTTCTTTGCTTCTTAGGGGTGTTGTGTCAGAAAGAGAGACTTGACTTTTACTGGTGTTTTCCATCTGTTAGTTTTCTCTTTAATTTCCTTAGAGTCATTTTCAGAGTCATGAATTACTATTCGACCCTTTCATGTTCATCTGCCACCCTCTGTTTAGGACATACATCTTCTCAGTAGCACATCACAGTTTCTGGCCTGAGTTTTAGTCCAAGTCCTGCTAACTAGCTGTGTGGCTTTAGACAAGTGACTTCATCTTTCTGGGTCTCTGTTTTCTCATCTCTGAACTATAGGCGTTAGGCTGGAAAGACAACGCCTAAGTTCCTTTGAAATCTAAAAATTGTTATGATGTTGTGAGGCCTGGTGTCCATTGCAGGCTGGGGACTGGCCCTGGTACCACGGACGTGGCATTACAAGATTTTATTTCAACAACTGGACCTCATGGGTAAGTTTGCTAGAGAAAAAGGGAGAGGGCGAGATGGATGCATTTCTTGAGAGAAGAATTCAATTTTAACCCAATGTTGTAGACAGTATTTTCACACGGTTGCTTAAGGCAAGTGCTCTCCATATATATGGCAAACATATATATATATATATATGACAAAAATATATATATATGGCAAAATATATATATATATTTGAGATAGAATTTCGCTCTTGTTGCCCAGGCTGGAGTGCAATGGCACGATCTCAGCTCACTGCAAACTCTGCCCCCCGGGTTCAAGTGATTCTCCTGCCTCAGCCTCCCGAGTAGCTGGGATTACAGGCATGTGCCACCATGCCTGGCTAATTTTGTACTTTTAGTAGAGACAGGGTTTCTCCATGTCGGTCAGGCTGGTCTCAAACTCCCGACCTCACGTGATCTGCCCACCTCAGTCTCCCAAAGTGCTGGGATTACAGGCATGAGCCACCACACCCAGCCGATTGCTATAATTTTATAAAGGTAGCAATCAATCTCGTTCAACTCTAGATCTGTACAAAAATATGTTGAAGAATAAATCCCTCAGTGTTAGAGAGCATTTGAAATTCCTCTTCTTAATTAGAAAGTGCTCACAGATACGGCAAATTATTAATATCCATCTAGAGACGTTCCCCCGTAATTTCTGAGCCCCATAGTGGCCATTGTCCCTCTTCAATGGTAAGAATGGGGAATTCAAATGATTGTTGGTAATTTTTGACTTGTATCAATACAGTCTCAGCTGTTTTCCTTAAAAACTCACAGAAGACCTGTAGTTCACCTTTCTTTGGAGGTGAGGGAGAGAGAGTAGCAATGGGAGGAGGATGACAATTCGTTTTCGTTATTAAGTTTTAGTTTATTAAAATATGATATCAATTGTTTAATAATCTGTGAAAGTGAATGCCAGGTGTTACGCATTGGGTAGAGTCAGGTTAGTATTTGGGAGATGATTGGCCAGAATTCAGTTCATAGGCTCTTCTGTTAAAAAGTAGATAATGTCAAGAGGTACAATGAAGTTTGATTAATTCCTGAGTCCTAAGCAGAGCCTGCCTGTTAGCACATTTTTAAAGTGGAAGCTTAGAGGGCTTCTAGATGCCGCTGGTTTGACATTTCTTTGGGATGGGAAGATGTGATTAGATTCACGTAATATAACCCTGTTTGAAAGGTGTAGCAACATGACATAGCGGAAAAAATGTGGGCTCTTGCTCTGATTTTATGATATAATGAATGAATCCCACCTTCTATCTTCTCTTTGTAAAATGAATATACTGTTTACCATACAAGGTGTTGTCAGAATTCAATTATTAATGTATGTAACTGCTCAAAATATGTTATACCCTTTCACTCTCCTTTTAAGAGGGTGGGTGGATTGGGTAAAAATGTATATACTACAAATTGGCAATTAGATATTCTAATTTTGTCTTTGCTAATCAATTTATTTGAAACCCCCATTCCCCAGTGTTGCAGTAGGAAGTCAGATAAGAAGGCAGATTGGTATCACTCTAATATTTATAAATTAATGTCACTGGCCTCAAATGGGCTGTTACAGCTCCGTCATCCCTTTATGTTTCTTGGGTCAGCTCATTCTCCCACTTTACATAATGCTATTTCAAATACTTTCTACTCTTAGAACCTCTGATCAATCTTCCTCCCTCTGCCCCATCCCATCCTGGTTCTTCTATGCCAACAAATGACCTTGACTCTATCCCAACAAATGACCTTGATATGATAAATAAAAACAAACAGATGGGAACTTCTTCAGCTTCTCAGTATCCAAACATGAAAATTTTTTTTTATCTACATCTATTATTTCTTCTTTCTCTTCTGGACAATAGAGGTTTCCTTTCTCCGAGCTAAAACCAGTCTCTTCATCTTTGGTTTGCATCCCATCCACTCCCACTTTCTTAAGAAACTTACATTATTGATGATCCCTTCTTTTCCCTACATATTCAACATCCCTCTCTTTAACAAGATCTTCCTGTTGGCATTTAATTATAGTTACTTCTCTCAAGGTTTCAAAGGCCTCCTCCTGAAACTCTCTCCTTCATTTCTCTCCTTCTCTTCCAGTTACCATCTTTAAAGTGTTCTTTATATTCAGTGTCCACATTTCCTCACCTCCTACTCACTCAACCAAATCCCATGGCTCTGCTGAGTTAGCTTTCTTAGAGTTACCAGAGATCTCCATGTTGCTAAAGCCAATAGTCTTTTTTTTTTTCCTGTTATCTCTTCTTGAATATTGTAAAGACACTTCTGGCTCAACATGTCTAAAACTGAAGCCGAAATCTTCTCCTTGAATCCTGATTTTCTTTTGCCCAAAACTGCTTCTTGTTCTTAGAATATGGTACCTTTGTTAGGCTGTTCTTGCATTGCTATAAAGAAATACCTGTGACTGGGTAATTTATAAAGAAAGGAAGTTTAATTGGCCCATGGTTCTGCAGGATGTAGAGGAAGGATGGCGCTGACATCTGCTAGGCTTCTGGGGAGGCCTCAGGGAGCTTCCAAGCATGGCAGAAGGTGAAGGGGGAGCAGACACTTCACATGACCAGAATAGGAACAAGAGAGAGAGACAGGGAGGTGCTACACACTTTTAAACAACCAGATCTCATATGAACTCTTTTAAACAACCAGATCTCATGAGAACTCACTCACTATTGCAAAGACATCACCAAGCCATGAGGGATCCACCCCTATAACCCAAACACCTCCCGCTAGATTTCATCTCCAACATTGGGGATTACAACTCAACATGAGATTTAGGTGGGGACAAATATCCAGACTACGTCAGCACCAGTTGCTCTTAATTCTTCTCTCTTTCTGACCTTTCCATGTGTAGTGCAATATTGTATCCTCCTGATTTCACCTTCCATATATCTCGTGGATCCATCCACTCCTTCCCATGTCTACAGCCTTCTTATTATCCAATCTTCTCTATCACAGACCATTGCAGTGATTCCCTAACTGATCTCCATGCACTCTCCAAGCTACTCTCAACAGTGGAGCCAAAGTGATCTTTCTGAAATATAAATTCCATCATGATGCCCTCTTGCTGAAAATACAATAGCTTTTCATTGCTCTTAGGATACAGGATCATGCTGTGTCTGATGTCTGAAATGCTCTTGTCTCTTTAGGCAACTTTAAATGGATTCTTTTAAGATATGACTTCACATATGACTTTGCTGAACCACTCTGGACTCCCCAAATCAAAGTTGGTAATAACTGTTCTTATCACTAAGGTGATTTCATGTCTGTGTGATTATCAGATTTATTTAGAAAGACATCATTCCTTGCCAGTGTGGTTCATGTGTCTTTGGCTTATCACTGAATCCCTCCATGAGAAAATAAATAAATGAATGAATAACATATTTTATGAAAACCATATACTTTCTTAGGAGAAAGACAGAAAAAAAGAGATTAGAAGCAATTTCTTAGGACTGTTTGATCAAAATGCAGACATTTTCCTCTCCATTGGTAGAGACAAGTAGCTGTCTCCTACACATTCATGTCCCTCTTTGATAATTTGGAGGGATTGCTGAGAAGCTGTTGCCTTGCAAGAGACCACATCTCCCAAGTCCCTAGCACTGAAGTATGCCACGTGATTAGCTGTTGCCAATGAGACGTGAGTGGAAGTTAACATGTTTAATTTCTAGGACAAAGATTTTAGGAAGCAGCTGTGTCTTTTTTCCCTGTTAACAGCTGTAATTAGAGGACTCTGAGACCCTAGAGGATGGTGGAGGCACAAAGTGGAAGCAATGCAAACCTCTGAATTACCACAAGGAAGAGAGATGACCACTAACCAGTGATTCTCACATTGACTATTACACGAACAAGAGTTGATCAGCAATTACAGGGAAAGGGGTGGCAAATATGGCCCCCCACCTATTTTTATAAATAGTTTGTTATATGTGGCTGATTTTGTTCTGTAACAGCAGAGTTGAGTAGTCACAACAGAGACTGCACAGCCCTCAGTGATGAAAATATGTACTATCTTGTCCTTTACCAAAAAAAGTTTGTCAACACCTGGTCTATTATGCTAAAAACTGTAATTCTTAGAATAATTGGGGGTTACTTGTTGTAGTAATGAGCATTACGCTAACTAGTATACCTCCTTAAGTATAAGTATTATACTTAGCTGTATCCATTTACTAATCGATGTGTTCTCTCAGCATGTATTTACTGAACATTTAATATGTTCTTGGTATTGGGAATATTAAGGTGAATGAGACATGGTCCCTGCTTTTAAGAAACTTAGAGTTTTGATAGGGAGATCAGTGTATCTATTGAAAATTAAAATAGTGGCACAATGGTAGTAAATATTAGATGCTAATAACACATGCAGGAAGGGTACTTATCCCAGACTTGGGAAAGGTAGGTGCTGCAGGTCAAATACCCTAAGAAGCAGACACTGAGATGGAGGTTAGTATGCAAGAGGTTCCTGGTAGATTGCTCTCGGGACCAAAACCTGCAGGGGAAGAGAAGAAAGCA